>NC_000004.12:110285017-110436532 GCF_000001405.40 Homo sapiens | reverse complement strand
CCAATGAATTCAATTAAAATATTTGAGTCTTTTTTTTCAATTATTTAGATATTATATACTTAACTATTGCTAAGAATGAGCATTTTTTATGGCAGGTGAAATGGCAATGGTAGAAATAATTTTTTTAATATCTAAAATTTGGGGTGAAGTGGATTTAAGAACTCAAAATGGAAAGGACATTGTATCATAAAAGACCAAGCAATATAAATTACCAGTTATAGTTTAGTCACCCACTAAAATCTGTTTAGCTCCTTTGGAACATGTCCAATAACTACTTCTCCTTGACCTTATGTAAATGCTGAAGACTTTGATTCTAAATACAATCACCTGAAATACTTTTTAAAGAGTTATTGTTCATTACAAAGTATGCAGAATGTTTCAGAGAACATAATTACTTGTGTGCTTATAAACATTATAGTCATTTGATAAATTATTTTCTATATTTAACAATAAAGTTAATTTATATATTTGATTTAAAAAGGAAATAGACAAAATTATCAAAAAATATAGTGGTAGGAAAATGTAAAATATTTAGTAATATATTTTAGAAAAAATCTCATTCCAAAAGGATTAATGTTCATGAGTTAATATTTAACATTTTGCTAGAAAATTGGTAATCCCACAAAAAGATTAAAATACCTAGGAATATAGCTAACTGGGGAAGTAAATTATCTGCAGTAAGAATTACAAAACACTGCTGAAAGAAATCAGAAATGACACAAACAAATAAAAAAATTCCATGCTCATGGATAAGAAGAATCAATATTGTTATATTGGCCATACTGCCCAAACCAATTTACAGATTCAATGCTATTACTATCAAACTACCACTGTCATTTTGCACAGAATTAGAAAAAAACTATTCTAACATTCAAATGGAACCAAAAAAGAGCCTAAATAGCCAAAGCAATCCTAAGCAAAAAGAACAGAGGCATCACACTACCTGATTTCAAACTATACTACAAGGCTACAGTAGCCAAAACAGCATGGTACTGGTACAAAAACAGACACATAGACCTAGAGAACCCAGAAATAAAGCTGCACACCTACAACCCTCTGACATTCAACAAAGTCAAAGATAACATGCAATAGAGAAAGAAGTCCCTATTCAATAAATGGTTTTGGGATAAGTGGCTAGCCATATACAGAAGATGGCGGAAGATTGAAACTGAACCCCTTCTTTCATAATATACAAAAATCAACTCAAAAATGGAATAAAGACTTAAATGTAAGACCTAAAACTATAAAAACCCTAGGAAAAAAAATCTAAGAAATACCTTTCTAGACATAGGCCTTAGCAAAGATTTCATGACAAAGTCTCCAAAAGTAGTTACAACAAAAACAAAATTTGACAAGCGGGAACTAATTCAACTAAAGAGCTTCTGCACAGCAAAAGAAACTATCAACAGAGTAAACAGACTACCAACAGAATGGGAGAAAATATTTGCAAACTATGCAAACAACAAAGGTCTAATATCCAGAATCTACAAGGAACTTAAACTCAATGAGAAAAAAACAAAGAACCTCATTTAAAAAGTGGGCAAAGGACATGAAAAGACACTTCTTAAAAGAAGACATATAAGCAGCCAACTAACATGAAAAAATGCTCAACATCACTAATTAGCAGAGAGGTGCAAATTAAAACCACAATGAGATACCATCTCACATCAGTCAGAATGGCTATTACTAAAAAGTCAAAAACTAACAGATGTTGGCAAGGCTATGGAGAAAAGGGAATGCCTATACACTGCTGGTGGGAGTGTAAATTAGTTCAGCCACTGTGGAAGGCAGTTTGAAGATTTCTCAAAGAACTAAAAATAGAACTACCATTTAATCCAGTAATCCCATTATAGTTACATACCCAACAGAATATAAATCATTCCACCAAAAAGACACGTGCACTGTATGTTCGTTACAGCACTGTTCACAACAGCAAAGACAGAGAATCAACGTAGGTGCCCATCAACAGTGGACTGGATAAAGAAAATGTGGTATTTATACACCATGGAATACTATGCAGCCATAAAAAAGGAATGAGATCGGCCAGGCATGGTGGCTCACGCCTGTAATCCCAGCACTTTGGGAGGCCAAGGTGGGTGGATCACAAGATCAGGAGATCGAGACCATCCTGGCTAACATGGTGAAACCCCGTCTCTACTAAAAATACAAAAAATTAGCCAGGCGTGGTGGTGGGCACCTGTAGTCCCAGCTACTCGGGAGGCTGAGGCAGGAGAATGGTGTGAACCCGGGAGGCAGAGCCTGCAGTGAGCTGAGATAGCGCCACTGCACTCCAGCCTGGGCGACAGAGTCAGAATCCATCTCAAAAAAAAAAAAAAAGAATGAGATTATGTCCTTTGCAGCAACACAGATGCACCTACAAGCCATTATCCTAAGCGAATTAATACAGAAATAGAAAATCAAATATCACATGTTCTCACTTATAAGTGAGTGCTAAATCTTGGTTATACACATGCATAAAAATGGGAACAATAGACACTGGGAACTCTAAAAGGAGAGAGGGAGAGGGGCAAGGCTTTAAAAACTTTCTATTTGGCACTTGGTTCACTATCTGGGTGATCAGATAAATAGAAGCTCAAACCTCAGCATCACACAATATACCCTTGAAACAAACCTGTGCATGTTCCCCCCAAATTAAGAAAAAATAAAAATATTTTTAAAATCTCATTTTTAAAAACAATATGATCAATTAAAATAACTTAAATAACTTACCAGCAAAACATATAACAATCCAGAATTAAAATATTCAGAAAGCAAGCAAGTCATCTTGTACTACCAGATTCTTTTTGAAGAATGACGTTTATAAAATGAAGAGAACCAATTTTACCTGCCTGTGCTAATGGAAAATAAGTTCAAGAAATGTCCTAGTTATAATTTTCAGTTAGCCCAACATTAACATTGCCCAGAGTTTAGTGTGACAGCCACCTTGAAGCCCTTGTAAATTCTATCGCCTTGGATGAATCACAACTGATTGGTTTATCAATGCATATAATTCAGATTGTTCTGAATAAAGGTGGCTTCCCTGAAGGACCCAAGATAACTTCATGAAATAAATGTATCACATCCAGTTAATAGATGAGGCAAAGAACATTATTTATTTCAAAAGAGAAATCTTATTCTTTTGTGGTAGAGTAAAAGAAAGATTGAATACAAAATAAAATTGCTAATTAAGAAAAAGGAAAGCCACCTATACTCATTTGCTCATGAAAAAGAAACCTAGCTGAGAAGACTGGCAGGCAAGAAACACAGTGGACTAGTATTGCAGGAAGGAGAATGTTGGAATAGAAAAGTTTATTTGTTCTCTGAGATCTGCTCTTATTGAAGTGGATCAAGGATGAAAATACCCAAATTTGAGTATCAGAAGACCTTCCAGTCTACTTGATGCATGAGCTCTACAGTTTTAAGAAGCAAAACTATAAAACAGTGTAAGAAGATATATTTTCCCTGACCTCTATTTGTGATTTCCTCTATTTATCCTTAAAAGCAACTCTTACAAAAGCATAAACTTTATACATATTTGCATGGTAGGCACATTCACATATTGCTGTTGTGTTTTTCATTTTACAGGAACAAAATATGTTCATTAGTGGGAAAATAAAAAGGAACCATAGACAAGCAAAAGGCAGAAAATAGAAAACACTCAGAACCTCACTCACAGACCACTATCTTCAACTTTGTGTGCCCGCTTCTAAGGCCTAATCTTTTCTTAAAAATTATTTAATTTTAAAATGCAGACTTAAATACACATTTCTACATGAACATGATCATATCAAACATATTTTTTTCAAATATTATTTATTTCAAAAAAGAAACCTTATTGCTTTGTGGTAGAGTAAAAGAAAGATTGAATAGAAAATAACATTTCTAATTAAGAAAAAGATGTCTAGGTGGCTGGCAAGATGGCCAAATAGGAACAGCTCCAGTCTGCACCTCCCAGCAAGATCAAAGCAGAAGGCAGGTGATTTCTGCATTTCCAACTGAGGTACCCGGCTCATCTCACTGGGACTGGTTATACAGTGGATGCAGCACATGGAGGGTGAGCCGAAGCATGGTGGGGCATTGCCTCACCCAGGAAGCACAAGAGGTCAGGGAACTCCCTCCCCTAGCCAAGGGAAGCAGTAAGGGACTGTGCCATGAGGAACGGTGCATTCCAGCCCAGATACTATGGTTTTCCCACAGTCTTCACAACCCACAAACCAGGAGATTCCCTCAGGTGCCTATGCCACCAGGGCCCTAGGTTTCAAGCACAAAACTGGGTGTCCATTTGGGCAGACACCGAGCTAGCTCAGGAGTTTTTTTTTATACCCCAGTGGCACCTGGAATGCCAGTGAGACAGAACCATTCACTCCCATGGAAAGGGGGCTGAAGCCAGGGAGCCAAATGGTCTAGCTCAGAGGATCCCACCCCCATGGAGCCCAGCAAGCTAAGATCCACTGGCTTGAAATTCTTACTGCCAGCACAGCAGTCTGAAGTTGACCTAGGATGCTCAAGCTTGGTGGGGGGAGGGGCGTTTACCATTACTGAGGCTTCAGTAGGGGGTTTTCCCCTCACAGTGTAAACAAAGCCACTAGGAAGCTTGAACTGGGCAGAGCCCACCGCAGCTCAGCAAAGCCACTGTAGCCAGACTGCCTCTCTAGATTCCTCCTCTCAGGGCAGGGCATCTCTGAAAGAAAGGCAGCAGCCCCAGTCAGGGGTTTATAGATAAAACTCTCATCTCCCTGGGACAGAGCAGCTGGGGGTAGGGGCAGCTATGGGCGCAGCTTCAGCAGACTTAAACATTCCTGCCTGCCAGCTCTGAAGAGAGCAGCAGATCTCCCAGCACAGCGCTCAAGCTCTGCTAAGGGATAGACTACCTCCTCAAGTGGGTCCCTGACCCCCGTGGCTCCTTACTGGGAGACACCTCCCAGCAGGGGTTGACAGACACCTCATACAGGAGAGCTCTGGCTGGCATCTGGCAGGTGCCCCTCTGAAATGAAGCTTTCAAAGGAAGGAAAAGGCAGCAATCTTTGCTGTTCTGCAGCCTCTGCTGGTGATACCCAGGCAAACAGGGTCTGGAGTGGACCTCCGGCAAACTCCAGCAGACCTGCCGCAAAGGGGCCTGAAGGAAAACAACACACAGAAAGTAATAGCATCAACATCAACAAAAAGAACGTCCACACAGAAACCCCATCCAAAGGTCACCAACATCAAAGAGCAAAGGTAGATAAATCCATGAAGATGAGGAAAAACCAGTGTAAAAAGGTGGACAATTCCAAAAACCAGAATACCTCTTCTCCTCCAAAGGATCACAACTCCTCACCAGCAAGGGAACAAAATTGGACGGAGAATGAGTTTGATGAATTGACAGAAGTAGGCTTCAGAGGTGGGTAATAACAAACTCCTCTGAGTTAAAGGAGCATATTCTAACCCAATGCAAGGAAGCTAAGAACCTTGAAAAAATGTTAGAGGAATTGCTAACTGGAATAACCAGTTTAGAGAAGAACATTAATAGCCTGATGGAGCTGAAAAACACAGCACGAGAACTTCATGAAGCATACGCAAGTATCAATACCCAAGGCAATCAAGTGGCAGAAAGGATACCAGAGATTGAAGATCAACTTAATGAAATAAAGTGTGAGGACAAAATTAGAGGGAAAAAAAATGAAAAGGAACGAACAAAGCCTCCAAGAAATATGGGACCATGTGAAAAGATGAAACCTACATTTGATTGGTGTACCTGAAAGTGATGAGGAGAATGGAACCAAGTTGGAAAACACTCTGCAGGATATTATCCAGGAGAACTTCCCCAACCTAGCAAGACAGGCCAACATTCAAATTCAGAAAATACAGAAAACACCACAAGGAGACTCCTCTAGAAGAGCAACCCAAAGACACATAATCATCAGATTCATGAAGGTTAAAATGAAGGAAAAAATGTTAAGGGCAGCCAGAGAGAAAGATCAGGTTACCCACAAAGGAAAGCCCATCAGACTAAGAGCAGATCTCTCTGCAGAAACCCTACAAGCCAGAAGAGAGTGAAGGCCAATATTCAACATTCTTAAAGAAAAGAATTTTCAACACAGAATTTCATATGCAGCCAAACTAAGCTTCATAAGTGAAGGAGAAATAAAAACCTTTACAGGCAAGCAAATGCTGAGAGACTTTGTCACCACCAGGCCTGCCTTACAAGAGCTCCTGAAGGAGGCACTAAATATGGAAAGGAAAAACCCATACCAGCCACTGCAAAAACATAAATTGTAAAGGCCATCAACAATATGAAGAAGCTGCATCAATTAATGGGCAAAACAACCAACTAGCATCATAATGACAGGATCAAATTCACACATAACAATAGTAACCTTAAATGTAAATGGGCTAAATGCCCCAATTAAAAGACACAGATTGGCAAATTGGATAAAGAGTCAAGACCCCTCAGTGTGCTGTATTCAGGAGACCCATTTCATGTGCGAAGACACACATAGGCTGAAAATAAAGTAATGGAGGAAGGTTTACCAAGAAAATGGAAAGCAAAAAAATAAAAGCAGGGGTTGCAATCCTAGTCTCTGATAAAATAGACTTTAAACCAACAAAGATCAAAAAAGACAAAGAAGGGCATTACATAATAGTAAAGGGATCAATGCAACAAGAATAACTAACTATCCTAAATATATATGCAACCAATACAGAAGCACCCAGATTCATAAGCAAGTTCTTAGAGAACTACAAAAAGACTTAGACTCCCACACAATAATAATGGGAGACTTTAACACACCACTGTCAATATTAGACAGATCAATGAGACAGAAAATTTATAAGGATATTCAAGACTTGAACTCAGCTCTGGACCAAGCAGCTCGTAGATGAGCTGTCCACCCCAAATCAACAGAATATACATTCTTCTCAGCACCACATCACAGTTATTCTAAAATTGACCACATAATTGGAAGTAAAACACTCCTCAGCAAATGCAAAACAATGGAAATCCTAACAAACAGTCTCTCAGACCACAGTGCAATCAAATTAGAACTCAGGATTAAAAAACTCACTCAAAACCACACAACTACATGGAAACGTAAATAACCTGCTCCTGAATGACTACTGGGTAAATAATGAAATTAAGGCAGAAATAAATAAGCTCTTAGCAACCAATGAGAACAAAGAAACAACATGCCAGAATCTCTTGGACACAGCTAATGCAGCGTTTAGAGGGAAATTTTTAGCACTAAATGCCCATGAGAGAAAGAAAGAAAGATCTAAAATCAACTAAAAGAATTAGAGAAGGAAAAGTAAGCAAATTCAAAAGCTAGCAGAAGACAAGAAATAACCAAGATCAGAGCAGAACTGAAGGAGATACGGACACAAAACCCCTTCAAAAGAATTAACGAATCCAGGAGCTGGTTTTTTGAAAAGATCAACAAAACAGATAGGCTGGTAGCCAGACTAATAAAGAAGGAATAGAGAGAAGAATCAAATAGACACAATAAAAAATTATAAAGGGGATATCACCACTGATCCCACAGAAATACAAAGTACCATCAGAGAATACTATAAACACCTCCACACAAATAAACTAGAAAATCTAGAAGAAATTGACAAATTTCTGCACACATACACCCTCCCAAGACTAAACCAGGAAGAAGTCAAATCCCTGAATAGACCAATAACAAGTTCTGAAATTGAGGCAGTAATTAATAGCCCACCAACCAACAAAAGCCCAGGACCAGATGGATTCAGAGCTGAATTCTACCAGAGGTACAAAGAGTTGCTGGTACCATTCCTTCTGAAACTATTCCAATCAATAGAAAAAGAGGGAATCCTCCCTAATTCATTTTATAAGGCAGCATCATCCTGATACCAAAACCTGACAGAGACACAACAAAAAAAGAAAATTTCAGGCCAATATCCCTGATAAACATCGATGTGAAAATCCTCAATAAAATACTTGCAAACTGAATCCAGCAGCACATCAAAAAGCTTATTCATCACCATCAAGTCGGCTTCATCCCTGGGAGGCAAGTCTGGTTCAACATATGCAAATCAATAAACATAATCCATCATATAAACAGAATCAATGACTAGAACCACATGATTATCTCAATAGATGAAGAAAAAGCCTTCAATAAAATTCAACACCCCTTCATGCTAAAAACTGTCAATAAACTAGGTATTGATGGAATGTATCTCAAAATAATAAGAGCTATTTATGACAAACCCATAGTCAGTATCATACTGAATGGGCAAAAGCTGGAAGCATTCCCTTTGAAAACTGGCACAAGATAAAGAGGCCCTCTCTCACCACTCCTATTCAACATAGTATGGGAATTTCTGACCAGGGCAATCAGGCAAGAGAAAGAAATAAAGGTATTCAAATAGGAACAAAAGAAGTCAAATTGTCCCTGTTTGCAGATGACATGATTGTATATTTAGAAAACCCCATCATCTGAGCCCAAAATCTCCTTAAGCTGATAAGCAACTTCAGCAAAATCTCAAGATTCAAAATCAATGTACGAAAATCACAAGCATTCCTATACACCAATAATAGACAAACAGAGAGCCAAATCATAAGTGAACTCCCATTCACAATTGCTACAAAGAGAATAAAATACCTAGGAATCCAACTTACAAGGGATGTGAAGGACCTCTTCAAGGAGAACTACAAACCACTGCTCAAGAAAATAAAAAAGGACACAAACAAATGGAAAAACATCCCATGCTCATGGATAGGAAGAATCAATATCGTGAAAATGGCCATACTGCCCAAAGTAATTTATAGACTCAATGCTATCCCCATCAAGCTACCATTGACTTTCATTACAGAATTAGAAAAAACTATTTTAAATTTTATATGGAACCAAAAAAGAGCCCATATAACCAAGACAATCCTAAGCAAAAAAAACAAAGCTGGAGTCATCACCCTACCTGACGTCAAACTATACTACAAGGCTATAGTAACCAAAACGGCATGATGCTGGTACCAAAACAGATACATAGACCAATGGAACAAAATAGAGACCTCAGAAATAACACCACACATCTACAACCATCAGATCTTTGACAAACCTGACAAAAACAAGAAATAGGGAAAGGATTCCCTATTTAATAAATAATGCTGGGAAAATTGGCTAGCCATATGCATAAAATTGAAATTGGAACCTTTCCTTACACCTTATACAAAAATTAACTCAAGATGCATTAAAGACTTAAACGTAAGACCTAAAACCATACAAACCCTAGAAGAACACCTAGGCAATACCATTCAGGACATAGGCATAGGCAAAGACTTCATGACTAAAACACCAAAAGCAATGGCAACAAAAGCCAAAATTGACAAATTAGATCTAATTAAACTCAAGAGCTTCTGCACAGCAAAAGAAACTATCATCAGGGTGAACAGGAAACCTACAGAATGGGAGAAAGTTTTTGCAATCTATCCATCTGACAAAGGGCTAATATCCACAATCTACAAAGAGCTTAAACAAATTTACAAGAAAAAAATACCCATTCAAAAGTGGGCGAAGGATATGAACAGACACTTCTCAAAAAAAGACATTTATGTGGCCAACAAACATATGAAAAAAAGCTCATCATCACTGGTCATCAGAGAAATACAAATCAAAACCACAATGAGATACCATCTCATGCCAGTTAGAATGGTGATCATTTAAAAGTCAGGAAATAACAGATGCTGGAGAGGATGTGGAGAAATAGGAACACTTTTACACTGTTGGGAGTGTAAACTAGTTCAACCATTGTGGAAGACAGTGTGGCGATTCCTCAAGGATCTAGAACCAGAAATACCATTTGACCCACGAATCCCATTTCTGGGTATACACCCAAAGGATTACAAATCATTCTACTATAAAGACACATGCACATGTATGTTTACTGAAGCACTGTTCACAATAGCAAAGACTTGGAACCAATCCAAATGCACATCAATGATAGACTGGGTAAAGAAAATGTGGCACATATACACCATGGAATACTACACAGCCATAAAAAGTATGAGTTCATGTCCTTTGCAGGGACGTGGATGAAGCTGGAAACCATCATTCTCAGCAAACTAACACAGGAACAGAAAATCAAACACCACATGTTCTCACTCATAAGTGGGAGTTGAACAATGAGAACACATGGACACAGGGAGTGGAACATCACACACCGGGGCCTTTCACATGGTGGAGGGCTAGGGAAGGGATAGCATTAGGATAAATACCTAATGTAGATGATGGTTTGATGGGTGCAGCAAACCACCATGGCATTTGTATACCTGTGTAACAAACCTGTATGTTCTGCACATGTATCCCAGAACATAAAGTATAATAAAATAAATAAAGAAAAAGAAAAAGAAAGCCACCTATACTAGCTCATTCATGTTTTAAATTTAATTTTTGTAAGTTAAAAATACATTTAATGATTATGTGAAGGCAGCAGAATGTTGAGAGAGGCAAATAGTGCAGGATTAAGCCCACAGACTCTAGAGCCAGACTACCTGGCTTTGTGTCCTGGCTGTGCCACGTACAGCAGTGTGATTTTGGATGAGTACTTAATTGTTCCGTGCCTCAGCTTTGTCATCTGTAAATTGAGGGATAATAATATTATTAAGATTATATTTTAATATATGTTTTATATTCTATTACTATATAATGTTATGAGGATTAAATGACTTAACTGCTTTTGAAGTGCTTAGAACAGTATTTGATACACAACATTCCTTGGTAGGCATTTAAGTTATTACCACTTTTCTCCTACAATAGCCAATTTTGTAATGGATAGTTTTTTTAACATATGTCCTTGCACACTTACTCAATTATTCTGTTAGATAAATTCCTAGAAATGGAATGGCTGTGTCAAAGGATGCGTACATTTTAAATTCTGGTAAAGAGATTGCATGAAAAGTGGGCACATTATAAAGGATACGCCAATTTTTATTCCCTCTAAACAGTACTGAGGCTAAGTATAGTTGTATGTTTCAAAATCTAGTTCTCAAACTTTGGTTTTCATAAGAAACACCTAAGTGCTTATTAAAATAGTAAATTATCAGGAACCTCCTGCAGAGATTCAGTACAGCCAGTATGAAAACTTGGAATCTGCTTTTTTTTTAGACAGAGCCTTGCTCTGTTGCCCAGCCTGGAGTGCAGTGGCACTGTCTCTGCTCACTGCAACCTCCGCCTCCCGGGTTCAAGCGATTCTCCTGCCTCAGCCTCCCAAGCAGCTGGGACTACAGGCGCATGCCAACAAACCCAGCTAATTTTTGTATTTTTAGTAGAGACAGGGTTTCACCATACTGGCCAGGCTGGTCTCGAACTCCTGACCTCGTGATCCACCCACCTCAGCCTCCCAAAGTGCTGGGATTACAAGCATGAGCCCAGCAGGAAGCTGTATTTTTTTAAACAACATCTTGAGTAATTCTGATGCAGGTGACCAGTGGATTGAGAAATATTGTGCCTTATCTTTGACTTCCCTTCTGGCACTGATAACTAAAACCCCACTGACATGATAGTCATGTTCAGCAAAAAAAATTCTACCAGGAGCTGGGCAGAAAATACCATCTTTCACAAGCCAACTATTAATACATGTTTTTTTTTTTCTTTATGTGGTACAAGAAATTAACCCATTTTTGGGTGGGTGCAGTGGCTCATGGCTGTAATCCCAACACTCTGGGAGGCCAAGGCGGGTGGATTGCATGAGGCCAGGAGTTGGAGACCAGCCTGGCCAACATGGTGAAACCCCATCTCTACTGAAAATACAAGAATTAGCCAGGCATGGTGGTGTGCACCTGTAGTCCCAGCTACTCGGGAGGCTGAGGCAGGAGAATCACTTGAACTCGGGAGGCAGAGCTTGCACATTTCCATCAATGACAAATTATTCGGTTATATCTCCAAATTTGTTCACACATAATTTTCCCAATGTAGATCTCATCATTTCAAATGCAGTTTTTATCCTACAAATGTGTCAAACTTCTATACAGTATGCCAAAGTGCAAAATAAAACCAGTTTTTAAGTGTAAGATAAAAGCCTGAGGCTAGCAGTATTGGACAGTTGGGCAGACACAAATGTTCTGTTTTTGTACATGTAAGACTTTTTGGCCTGGGTGTGTACCAAGATTGATATTTTTTTAAGCTACCAGTCTAATTAGTTTGTTAGCTCCCCTTCTCGTAAAGGCTGGATGCAGAAGGTTGGAAAGAGGTCACTGTGTGCCAGCATCAGAGGCAGCTGTCAAGCAAAACAAGACTCCCTGGGGATTGTTAGAACTAGCTAAATAAAATTTTTAAATTGGAGGAAATCAGCGCCAGTCATTCAAATTAATAAGGTAATATCACACCTTTTAACACCAACACATTTATAACTTGGTCTAGTTACAGTCTACCTTTATTTAAAATAATGATGAATTCCAGAAACAGAGAAGTTGCTTTTTAACAAAGAGTTTTCTTCTAAGCTAATCATTCTGCCAAATAAGTAAATATTTAAAGATTATTACTATTTTAGGCTAACATTTCAAAGGTTAACTCCACTTGATTATGTGAATGCCCTGTGATCTTACCTCAACTGTTCCCTGATAATATGCTTCCATCTCTCTATCTCCATAGATTGCATATTTCTTTTCCCTTCCCCTTCTCATCCCTTTTGGCTACCATATGGAGTCTTTCCTTCTTTTCACTCCTAAACTCACAGGATTTCTCTCTACTTTCGCATCATTCACTTTCCTATTGATTCCCAGCAAGATGGTTTGTAACCCATCTACTCCTCTGATGAACCAGCAGTGTTGAAAGCCACAAAAAATTTTCTTAAGGGTTAAATTCAATGGATATCGACTATCAAACCTCATGCCTACTCAGTGCTTTGTTAGGACCAAAGACTTTTTCCTCTTGTCTTTCTTTTCTTTTTCTTCTTCTTCTTTTCCTTTTATTTTATTTTATTATTTATTTAGTTATTTATTTTTTGAGACAGAGTCTCACTCTGTGGCCAGGCTGGAGGGCAGTGGCATGATCTCGGCTCACTGCAAACTCCATCTCCCAGGTTGAAGCGATCCTTCTGCCTCAGCCCCACTACTAGCTGGGATTACAGGCATGTGCCACTATGCCTAGCTAATTTTTTTATTTTTAGTAGAGACAGGGTTTCACCATGTTGGCCAGGCTGGTCTTGAACTCCTGACCTCAGATGATCACCTGCCTCAGCCTCCCAAAGTGCTGGGATTACAGACGTGAGCCACCGCAACCAGCCTTCTTCTTTTTATTTTTATTTTTGGTCAGCATGTTTTAGCAAAAGTTGTATTTCTTCATTTCAGGCACTCACCTGTATCTTCAAACATTACTGCCTGATTATGAGGACATGTGCACATTTATAATGATGCATAGACTATTGTGAATCTTCCTTGACCTCTCTTCCTCTAGTTCCAACTCTTCTTCCCAAAGATAATTTATGGCCATCTAGCTCTTTTCATATCTATAAATTTATCATCAAACTTATCATTCACTCTAATAACATCAAATATTCTGTCCAATTGATTATCCTAACTTTGACATTTTCAGTCTTTACTGCTGAAATCCCAGTTGCAGATTGCCAACTAATTTCTAGAAATTTCTATTCTTAAACTCATTCTTTGTGTATATATATACATTAAGTTGTAGGGTACATGTGCACAAGATTTGTTACATATGTATACATGTGCCATGCTGGTTTGCTGCACTCATTAACTCATCATTTACATTAGGTATTTCTCCTAATGTTATCCCTCCTCCATCCCCGATCCATGCCAGGCCCTGGTGTGTCCAAGTGTTCTCATTGTTCAATTCTCACCTATGAGTGAGAACATGTGGTGGTTGGTTTTTTGCCCTTGTGACAGTTTGTTCAGAATGATGGTTTCCAGCTTCGTCCATGTCCCTACAAAGGACATGAACTCATCCTTTTTTCTAGCTGCATAGTATTCCATGGTGTATATGTGCCACATTTTCTTAATCCAGTCTATCATTGATGGACATTTGAGCTGGTTCCAAGCCTTTGTTATTGTGAATAGTGCCGCAATATATACGTGTGCATGTGTCTTTATAGCAGCATGATTTATAATCCTTTGGGTATATACCCAGTAATGGGATCACTGGGTCAAATGGTATTTCTAGTTCTAGATCCTTGAGGAATAGCCACACTGTCTTCAACAATGGTTGAACTAGTTTACAGTCTCACCAACAGTGTTAAAGTGTTCCTATTTCTCCACATCCTCTCCAGCATGTGTTGTTTCCTGACTTTTTAATGATCGCCATTCTAACTGGTGTGAGATGGTATCTCATTGTGGTTTTGATTTGCATTTCTCTGATGACTATTTGATGGTCATCAAATGATGAGCATTTTTTCATGTGTCTGTTGGCTGCATAAATGTCTTCTTTTGAGAAGTGTCTGTTCATATCCTTTGCTCACTTTTGAATGGGGTGGTTTGATTTTTTCTTGTAAATTTGTTTAAGTTATTTGTAGATTCTGGATATCAACCCTTTGACAGATGAGTAGATTGCAAAAATTTTCTCCCTTTCTGTAGGTTGCCTGTTCACTCTGATGGTAGTTTCTTTTGCTGTACATAAGCTCTTGAGTTTAATTAGATCCCATTTGTCAATTCTGGCTTTTGTTGCCATTACTTTTGGTGTTTTAGTCATGAAGCATTTGCCCGTGCCTATGTCCTGAATGGTATTTACTAGGTTTTCTTCTAGGGCTTTTATGGTTTTAGGTCTAACATTTAAGTCTTTAATCCATCTTGAATTAATTTTTGTATAAGGTGTAAGGAAGGGATCTAGTTTCAGCTTTCTACATATGGCTAGTTTCCCCAGCACCATTTATTAAGTAGGGAATCCTTTCCCCATTTCTTGTTTTTGTTAGGTTTGTCAAAGATCAGATGATTGTAGATGTGTGGTGTTATTTCTGAGGTCTCTGTTCTGTTCCACTGGTCTATATCTCTGTTTTGGTACCTGTACCATGCTGTTTGGTTACTGTAGCCTTGTAGTATAGTTTGAAGTCAGGTAGTGTGATGCCTCCAGCTTTGTTCTTTTGGCTTAGGATTGTCTTGGCAATGTGGGCTCTTTTTCAGTTCCATATGAACTTTAAAGTAGTTTTTTCCAGTTCTGTGAAGAAAGTCATTGGTAGCTTGATGGGGATGGCACTGAATCTATAAATTACCTTGGGCAGTATGGCCATTTTCATGATATTGATTCTTCCTATCCATAAGCATGGAGTGTTTTTCCATTTGTTTGTGTCCTCTTTTATTTCATTGAGCATGTAGTTCTCCTTGAAGAGGTCCTTCACATCCCTTGTAAGTTGAATTCCTAGGTATTTTATTCTCTTTGTAGCAATTGTGAATGGGAGTTCACTCATTATTTGGCTCTCTGTTTGTCTATCATTGGTGTATAGGAATGCTTGTGATTTTTGCACATTGATTTTGTATCCTGAGACTTTGCTGTAGTTGCTTATCAGCTTAAGGAGATTTGGGGCTGAGATGATGGGGTTTTCTAGATATACAATCATGTCATCTGCAAACAGGGACAATTTGACTTCCTCTTTTCCTAATTGAATACCCTTTATTTCTTTCTCTTGCCTGATTGCCCTGGCCAGAACTTCCAACACTATATTGAATAGGAATGGTGAGAGAGGGCATCCCTGTCTTGTGCCAGTTTTCAAAGGGAATGCTTCCGGTTTTTGCTCATTCAGTATTATATTGGCTGTGGGTTTGTCATAAATAGCTCTTATTATTTTGAGATACATTCCATGAATACCTAGTTTATTGAGTTTTTAGCATGAAGTGCTGTTGAATTTTGTCAATGGCCTTTCCTGCTTCTATTGAGATAATCAATGTGGTTTTTGTCTTTGGTTCTGTTTATGTGACGGATTGCATTTATTAATTTGCGTATGTTGAACCAGCCTTGCATCCCAGGGATGAAGCCAACTTGATCTTGGTAGATAAGCTTTTTGATGTGCTGCTGGATTCGGTTTGCCAGTATTTTACTTAGCATTTTCTCATCGATGTTAATCAGGAATATTGGTCTAAAATTCTCTTTTTTTATTGTGTCTCTGCCAGCCTTTGTTATCAGGATGATGCTGGCCTCATAAAATGAGTTAGGGAGGATTCCCTCTTTTTCTGTTGATTGGAATAGTTTCAGAATGAATGGTACCAGCTCTTCCTTGTACCTCTGGTAGAATTCGGCTGTGAATCCTTCTGGTCCTGGACTTTTTTTGGTTGGTAGGCTATTAATTATTTCCTCAATTTCAGAGCCTGTTATTGGTCTATTCAGGGATTCAACTACTTCCTGGTTTAGTCTTGGGAGGGTGTATGTGTCCAGGAATTTATCTATTTCTTCTAGATAAAGGTACTGTCTCCTTTGTTGTTTGCCTTCCAAAGAGAGCTCCCAAGTCTTTCAGAAATACTTCCCTGGGTCATTAAGCTGAAAAAAGATTTAGTTTCTCAAAAAACCAAAGTTTGCCAGGCATAGTGGCTCATGCCTGTAATCCCAGTTACTTGGGAAGCCAAGGCAGGAGAATCGCCTGAACCCAGGAGTAGGAGGTTGTGGTGAGGCAAGATCGTGCCTTGCACTCCAGCCTGGGTAACAAGAGAAAAACTCCGTAAAAAAAAAAAAAAAAAAAAAAAAAAAAAAACACACATACACACACACACACCTCAGAAGTCAGAGAAAATGCATTTACAAATTTTCTGAGTGTGCTAAGAAAAGAGACAAAAGGAAAGAAAATCTCTTCCTTTATTTTTAAAGGTTTATTTTAAATAAACCTCTCATTTATTTGCTTGTTTGTTTGAGACAGGGTCTAGCTTTGTCATCCAGTCTGGAGTGTGGTGGCGAGATCAGAGCTCACTGCAGCCTCCAACTTTCTGGCTTAAGCGATCCTCCGACCTCAGTGCCCCGAGCAGCTGGGACCACAGGTGTGCACCACCACACCTGGCTTATTTTTTTTTTTATTTTATTTTTTTAGTATAGATGAGGTCTCACCACGCTGCCCAAGCTGATCTCAAACACCTAGGCTTAAGCCATCCTCCTGCCTCAGCCTCTCAAAGTGCTGGGATCACAGGCGCGAGCCACTGCTCCGGGCCCTGACTTTATTTCCATGAAATATAAAATTGTCCTTCACTTCCTTTGTGTAGTAGGCAGTTTTGCATGTCACCGTTCAGTTTCCATTATCCACTCAAACAACCCAGGACCTTGCTTAATAAGCCGTTCTAATTGTCAGTCCCTGCTGCAACCAGTGCCCCACTCCACCCCTTTACCGAGGTCCCTGCCCCTCCGCCCCGCCCTGCCCCAGACGGAGGGGAGCTTGCACTGCCTGCAGGATGCGTGACTCTACCTGCTCAGAAAAGGCACTTTGCATTAAAACCATTTTCAACTTAAGAGGAAAAACGATTCAGCGTTCATTACAGGTTGCCCAATAAATATGTTGTTTTACCTTCGATTGTTTGAAATATTAACTTAAAACGGATGAAGCATCCCTGTGATATTAGGGGTAATATCACAGCACATCAGTAACAGTCCACCAATCAGTATCCGGAGGATCCAGTCCTGCAGGGCAAGAGGATGACAGCAGGCGACATCTGGGGCCCAACTGAGGAGAAAGCCAGGACCCGCCCCCTCCAGGCCCTGCCCTTCAGACACCCCTTCCAGACCTCGCCCCCAAGATGACGATCACCCTCTGGCCCCGCCCCTTCCCTCTGCTTGCCCGGCCCCCAAGCAGCCTCCCCATTCTTGCCGCGCCCAGATCCTGTTCGAGGTCCCGTCCATTCTAGCCAGGCCCCTGCCCCACAGCGGCCTCCACCCCCTCGTAGCCAGGTGTGGCTGTGATCTGTCAGCCTTGGCCTCCCAAAGTGCTGGGACCACAGGCGTGAGCCACCCCACCCGGCCTAATCTTCTTAACATAAACACTTTAATGTCAATAATGCTTGAACTCAATGTTGTCAACTCAATCTCAAGTCAATGCTGAATTGGCTCTAATGTCAATTAAAGCTTTATGATTTTCTATAGTCATTGTATTTGGAAAAATTATCTCAAAAATGAATTTTCTGATGTTCTGCAAGGATTGACCTCGGACTGAAGACCTTGCCACACTTACGACATTTTTAAGATTCTGTCCAGTATAGATTCTCTGATGTTTAATCCTGTGTGAAAGTGAAGTCAAGACTGCCACAATCATCACACTTGAGGTTTCTCTCCTGTATGAATTCTCCTATGTTTTGCATAAGATGAAGCTTGACTGAAGACCTTGCCGCAATCATCACATTTGTAAGGTTTCTCTCCAGTATGAGTTCGCCAATCAACTGCAAGGTATGATCGATATCTGAAAAATTTGCCACATTTACTACACTTGTAAGATCTCTCTTCATTATGGATTCTCTAATGTTTTGCAAAGGTTGTAGCGTTACTGAAGACTTTGTAAGAATCATTACATTTGTAAAGTTTCCCTATACCATGGATTGCTTGATGATGAATAAGTGTTGACTGCCCACTAAAGGCTTTGCCATACTCATTACACTTGTAAGGTTTCCCTCCAGTATGAACTCTCTGATGTTGTGCAAGGTTTGATTGTTGATTAGACACCTTGCCACATTCGGCTGGGTGTGGTGGCTCACGCCTGTAATCCCAGCACCTTGGGAGGCCGAGGCAGGCGGATCACGAGGTCAGGAGATCGAGACCATCCTGGACAACATGGTGAAACCCCGTCTCTACCAAAAATACAAAAAATTAGCCAGGCGTGTTGGTGGGCACCTGTAGTCCCAGCTACTCAGGAGGCTGAGGCAGGAAAATGGCATGAACCTGGGAGGTGGAGGTTGCAGTGAGCCAAGATCGCGTCACTGCACTCCAGCCTGGGCAACAGAGTGAGACTCTGTCTCAAAAAAAAAAAAAAGAAAAAGAAAAAAAAAAGAAACCTTGCCACAGTCATTATACTTGTAAGATTTGTCTCCAGTATGAATTGCTTTATGAATTACAAGGGCTGAATTTCAAGTGAAGGTCTTGCCACACTCATTACACTTCTATGGTTTCTCTCCAGTATGACATCTATAATGACATACAAGATTTGCTTTTTGACTAAAAACCTTGCCACATTCATTACATGTGTAAGGTTTCTTTCCATTATGAAATGCCTTATGCATTACAAGACCTGAATTTTGAGCAAAGGTCTTGCCACACTTATTACACTTGTAAGGTTTCTCCCCAGTATGAACTCTCTGATGTTGTGCAAGGCATGAATCATGCCAGAAAACCTTGTCACAAACCTTACACTCATAAGGTTTCCCTCCAGTATGAACTCTTCAGGTGTGAAAGGCATGAATTATCCCAGAAAGCCTTGTGACAAACCTTACATTTGTATGGTTTTTCT
The DNA here is from genome assembly GCF_000001405.40 of Homo sapiens. Classification (NCBI taxonomy): domain Eukaryota; kingdom Metazoa; phylum Chordata; class Mammalia; order Primates; family Hominidae; genus Homo; species Homo sapiens. The sequence goes on along the minus strand of NC_000004.12, from coordinate 110,417,179 downwards.
CCAGTATGAATTCTCCTATGTGTTTCAAGTTGTGATCTGCAACTGTAAACTTTGTCACATTCTTCTCATTTGTAAGGTTTCTGTCCAGTATGAAGTCTATGACAGCATTGAAGGGATGACTTCTGATTGAAGGTCTTGCTACACTCATTACACTTGTAAGGTTTCTCTCCAGTATGAACTCTATGGTGGCATGCAAGGTATTACTTCTCATGAAAGACTTTGCCACATACATCACATTTACATTATTTCTCTCCTGAATGGGTTATGTGATGTCTCCTTAAGTGTGAGCTATAATTAAAGGCTTTGCCATACTCATTACATTGGAAAGGTTTTTCTCTCTTGTGTACTTCCTGTATTTGTGGGAATAATGAAGAATGGAGGAAATTCTTCCCATACTTATTAGAAAGATGGGTTTTGAGCCTACAAGAAATTATTTGGGATGTTGAAGCTGAGGAAGCATCATTGATAGACTGGTCCACTTGATTACCAATTTTCTGTTCAGTCTGAAATATGTGCAGTTCAGGCAGATGCAAATGAAAGCTTAATCCAAGCTGACCTTTAATAGGCTTGTTTCCAGCATGCCGTTGATCATGTCAGTCTGTACTACCAGTTAACTCTTTGGTTTCTGTCATGGGTGCTTCATGGCCATTTCTTTCCATTTCTTGCCACTGAAACTCAAAGTCATGAATATCTTTCTCGGTTTCTGGGAAGCAAAAATCTCCAGTGTGATGATTTTCATGTCTTTCCAAAATCCCTATGTGGAACACTTCCCCATTGCCTTGCCCTGTTGATGAGAACTCCATCATGGATTTTAAAGAGCTATCCACAGACTCTAGGTTCCTGTAGTTCTCCAACATCACGTCCCTGTATAAAGGCCTCTGCACAGGGTACAGGCATTTCCACTCCTCCACTGAGAATTTTTTTTTTTTTTTTTTTTTGAGATGGAGTCTTGCTGTGTCACCCAGGCTGGAGTGTAGTGGCGCGATCTCGGCTCACTGCAAGCTCCGCCTCCCAGGTTCAAGCCATTCTCCTGTCTCAGCCTCCCAAGTAGCTGGGACTACAGGCGCCTGCCACCAGGCCCGGCTAATTTTTTGTATGTTTAGTAGAGATGGGGTTTCACTGTGGGCTCAATCTCTCCTGACCTCATGATCCGCCCGCCTCGGCCTCCCAACTCCACTGAGAATTATATAGCCACATCCCTGAAAGTCAAGTGTCCCTGAGGAAGAGCTGCTATCCCTGGCTCCTTTTCTTTGCTCTTCTTGGTGGCTTCTTTACATAACATGAGTCTTTGGAAATCAATCCCGGATGTCTCAATTTTCTCTGAGTTGAGAAAGAAGGGCCGGAATTTCCAGGTCTGTGGGGACCCCACGCCCCTGATATAGCAGCACCAGAGAACTTGAGACCCTTCTTTTATGAGTCCTTTATTGCTTACTCAGTTATGCCTCATTAGTTACTAAATCTGATGAACAAGGAAGCCAATATTTAAGGCACTGGAGGATATATCACTGGCTGGTGACAAGGTTGTTACGTAACATCAAGGTTCTTGATGTTCACACTTAGTATTCTTTTCCCTGGCTAGATGTGGTGGCTCATGCCTGTAATCCCAACACTTTGGGAGGTGAAGGCAGGGGGATCACTTGAGTTCAGGAGTTTGAGACCAACCTGGGCAACATAGCAAGACACCATCTCTACAAAAAATTTAAAATTAGCCAGACATGGTAGTGCCCATCTGTAGTTCCAGCTACTTGGGAGGCTGAGATGGGAGGATCACTTGAACCCTGATATTCAGGGCTACAGTGAGTTATGATCACACCACTGCACTCCAGCCTGGGCTACAGAGGCTCTGTCTAAATAAATAAATAAGAAAAATAAAACGGTATTCTTTCAATTGAGTCAGCTTGCAATCCTGGCAAGAGAATTTACTGCATTTTATCATGGGGCTCTCTGGCGTAATGGTGAGCACTCGGGACTCTGAATCCAGAGAATTTACTGCATTCATGCACTATTTTCTAATCCAAAAAATTTAGTAAGCAATATTTTCCTCAATATTAACATAATTTTAGGATGCTGAAAGAGTTCATTCAACTGACCAAAACATTAAGCATTAAACTAAAAAGCAAATTTACAAAGAAAAGATAGATTTTATTTTTAAAAATTATTCCTAAAAATGTTCAATTTGGATCTAAGGAGACTTTGAGAATGTAGTGGTGATAAGGATTCTGATTCTGGCTAACATTCCTTGATGATGGATTTCATCTCATCTTCACAGCATCCCCATGAGGTATGTATGTATTATTAGTCCTGTTTATTGATAGATAAATGGAGGTTTATGAACATTAAGTAACTTGGACAAGGTCATGTAGTTAGAGCCAGAGCTATAACCTAGGTCACCTGGCCTGATTCCAAACCTTGTGTTCTCAATTGAGAGGAAATGTGTGGGCCAAACTATTCCAGATTTCTCAGAAAGTCTGCAGTTCACAGCATAGTTTCTTAATTTTTTTTAATGCCAGCACATCTTTTCAACAGACTCTAAAACTAAATTGCAGTGCTGATGTTTTCCAGGAATTAGACAAATCATGAACAAAGTGAGTGTTTCTCTGCAGAGCATTCTGCGAAACACAGGTAAGAGCAGACCTCTCCATGGCAAAGCTTCTCTTTGCCCAAGTAGTTGTAGAGACTGTCTTGTTTGTTATTCCTAGTAGAGAGACCACTTTCCTGCTGAGAGTGATTCGTTCAGAAAATATGTTTGAGAAGGGGTCATGCATGTGAGGAGAACAGCTGTGAACACTCATACAGCTCTTTGTTCCCTCATATTTTCTATATTCAGTTCATAATCCACTTGAGCAGTGGTGCCAGCTGGCAGGTCCAGCAGCTCATTTTTCTTCTCATTTTCAGCAGATCATCTAGTTTCTTCCCTATGGGTTCCTACCCCCATTTCATAGCCACTCACCTATTGATAAACAGGCTCTGCCTAAAGCACATCTCATCTTCCAGTCCATCAGCGCAGGATATGCAATTTTCCCAAACTCCAAATTACTATTGTAGTCCTTGATACAACATACATATTTAAATGGGGACTGTGAACACACACAGAGGATGAAAGGCTGAAGTAATGAGTCCTCGTGCCTGGGTTCTAGTCCATCTGATAGTGGTTTACCCTCTTTGGCCTCTGTTCCCTCATTTATTTTGCAGATTAATTCAGGTTACTAATTCTTATGGGTTTTAAAGGATGCTGAACTCCTAACTCCCAGTCCCTGAGAACATGACCTTATTTAGAAAGATGGACCAGGCACGATGGCTCATGCCTATAATCCCAGCACTTTGGAAGGCCTAGGCGGGTGGATCACTTGAGGTCAGGAGTTCAAGACCAGCCTGACCAACATGGTAAAACCCCATCTCTACTAAAAATACAAAAATTAGCTGGGTGTGGTGGCATGCATCTGTAATCCCTGCTACTCGGGAGGCTGAGGCAGGAGAATCGTTTGAACCCTGGAACCTCTGCAGTGAGCCGTAATGGCACCATTGTGCCCCAGCTTGGGTGACAGAGCGAGACTCTGTCTCAAAAAAAAAAAAGAAAAAAGAAAGAAAGAAAAATAGGGGCTTTACAGATGTTCAAGTTAAAATGAGGTAGGTCATTAGGGTGGGCCCTAAACCATTATGACTTATGTCTAGATTTTTAAAAGGTGGAGAAATTTGTATACAGACAGATACTAGTAAGGGAGAAGGCCATCTACAAGCCAAGGAATTTGTATACAGACAGATACTAGTAATGTCTTCCCCTTACTAGTAGGGAGAAGGCCGTCTACAAGCCAACGAATGCATAAGGCTGGGAGAATCTAGGAGAGAGGCATGGAATGAATTCTCCCTCACAGTCCTCAGAAGTTTCCAACCCACCAGATGCCTCCATTTCAGACTTTCAGCCTCCAGAACTGTTGAGACAATACATTTCTGTTGTTTAAACCACCCAGTTTCCAGTGTTTTGTGATGGCACACTAGCAAATTATTGCAGTAGACAGCTGACTTTGAATTAAGCAAAAGGGAGGTTTTCCCAGGTGGGCACAATCTAATCACATGTGCCATTTAAACTTATTTAAAAGAGTAGCCAAAGAGAAAGTCAGAGCTATTCCAACCATGAGAAGGAGTTGATGAGGCAGTACAGGGGCTCTGAAATGGAGGGGCCCCATGGCAAGTAACAGAGGGAAGCTTCTAAAAGGTAACAGTGATCCAACTGAAGACAAGAAAAGACTAAATCCATCTAACAACTGCAAGAAGCAATTCTGCCAACAACCTGAATGAGCCTGGAAGTGGATTCTTTCCCAGAGCCTCCAGATGTAGGAGGCCAGCCTGACACGGACTCCCTGAGCTAGGGACCCCAGATGAACCTGCAGATTTCTAACCTGTAGAACTATGACATAATAAACACGTGTAGTTTTAAGCCGCTGTCTGGGGTAATTTGTTATGTAGCCATAGAAAATACACCCTAGCTAGCAAGTATTGAGTGCTTTCTTCACCAGTCACTATTCTAAGTGTTTTACATTCAAAGAAAAAAAAAAACCCACAGCTAAGTATTGCCATAGAACTATTGTTGTCTCAAAGCAATAAAGATAAATTTACAGCTGGGAGGGGAGGATATTATGTGACATCTGAAGAACAACAGCCTGCAACAGACAGATGATAAACAGAACACCCTACTAAAGAGAAAGCAGAACCAGTAGAACAGACAGAATGGGAATTCAAAATAAACACAATAAATGTCTTTATAAAAATAAGGAATAATGTCAGGAACATGACGCGTGAACAAGCAATTATGAAGAACCACTTGGAAATATTTTTTAAATGCAATTGTTGAAATACAAACATAGTAAATGGCAAAACACATCATGCCTGATGGGCCAGTAAAAGCCTGGGGCACCATTTTGCAACCCCCTGTGAGAGTTAATTTCCAAGTGCGTAGAAATTACTGTCAGAAGTTTTTGAAAGGCCAAAAAGAGACTAAAAAATATCTTTAGAGGAATATAATCTGAATGTTTAAACAAGATAATCTTTTAAGAATAGAGACTCTTAAAATAGGAATTAAGAAGTACTATATCTAATTTATTCTCCCTCCCCAAATATCCCACTGTATTACTGAGGCTAAATAAGCCTATTATATATGTGAGGAAAATTCAGAGCAAAACTTTTAGCCAGGTCACAAACATGATTTATCTGCACCTTAATTCCTATGTAGACTTACAATTACCTCTCCTCAGGAGCTCGTAAACTTACAATTACCTCTCCTCAGGAGCTCGTAAAGTTAAGAAGAGCAGATAGAATATCAACCAGGCTGAAAGGCTAACCCAGCGGGGGATATTCACAGGCGAATGTTAAGCTTTGGCCAATTTGCAGCCTCTGCTTTCCACCCTTCCTCACAGCTTGTCCCAGGACTAAACCTGAGGGTCAACAGGAGGGATACAGCATCCCTACAGATGGCCTAGCTCCTCCTTGTCCAATTTTCCCCTAGTTGAAGGAGAGTCCAGCCAGGCTCCAGAACAGAGCGCCCTTAGTGCCCTGTCTAGTGCCACAGTGAACTGGACACAGAGGATGGAGAGCAGACATACAACCAAGGTCAAAAGCCAGGAGCTTGTTAGAAAGCAAGCCAGGCTTGTTACAAAGGCAAAGGGGGCTAAGGTACTGTGAACCCAAAATATCTGAGACAGGGCTCAGTAAATTTAGAAAGTTTATTTTACCGCTCTGTGGAGGAGCCAAGATGGCCGAATAGGAACAGCTCTGGTCTACAGCTCCCAGCGTGAGCGACGCAGAAGACGGGTGATTTCTGCATTTCCATCTGAGGTACCGGGTTCATCTCACTAGGGAGTGCCAGACAGTGGGCGCAGGTCAGTGGGTGCGCGCACCGTGCGCGAGCCGAAGCAGGGCGAGGCATTGCCTCACTTGGGAAGCGCAAGGGGTCAGGGAGTTCCCTTTCCGAGTCAAAGAAAGGGGTGACGGATTCACCTGGAAAATCGGGTCACTCCCACCCGAATACTGCGCTTTTCCGACTGGCTTAAAAAACGGCGCACCACGAGATTATATCCCACACCTGGCTCGGAGGGTCCTACGCCCACGGAGTCTCGTTGATTGCTAGCACAGATGTCTGAGATCAAACTGCAAGGCGGCAGCGAGGCTGGGGGAGGGGCGCCCGCCATTGCCCAGGCTTGCTTAGGTAAACAAAGCAGCCGGGCAGCTCGAACTGGGTGGAGCCCACCACAGCTCAAGGAGGCCTGCCTGCCTCTGTAGGCTCCACCTCTGGGGGCAGGGCACAGACAAACAAAAAGACAGCAGTAACCTCTGCAGACTTAAATGTCCCTGTCTGACAGCTTTGAAGAGAGCAGTGGTTCTCCCAGCACGCAGCTGGAGATCTGAGAACGGGCAGACTGCCTCCTCAAGTGGGTCCCTGACCCCTGACACCTGAGCAGCCTAACTGGGAGGCACCCCCCAGCAGGGGAAGACTGACACCTCACACGGCAGGGTATTCCAACAGACTTGCAGCTGAGGGTCCTGTCTGTTAGAAGGAAAACTAACAAACAGAAAGGACATCCACACCAAAAACCCATCTGTACATCACCATCATCAAAGACCAAAAGTAGATAAAACCACAAAGATGGGGGAAAAACAGAACAGAAAAACTGGAAACTCTAAAACGCAGAGCGCCTCTCCTCCTCCAAAGGAATGCAGTTCCTCACCAGCAACGGAACAAAGCTGGATGGAGAATGACTTTGACAAGCTGAGAGAAGAAGGCTTCAGACGATCAAATTACTCTGAGCTACGGGAGGACATTCAAACCAAAGGCAAAGAAGTTGAAAACTTTGAAAAAAATTTAGAAGAATGTATAACTAGAATAACCAATACAGAGAAGTGCTTAAAGGAGCTGATGGAGCTGAAAACCAAGGCTCGAGAACTACGTGAAGAATGCAGAAGCCTCAGGAGCTGATGCGATCAACTGGAAGAAAGGGTATTACCGATGGAAGATGAAATGAATGAAATGAAGCGAGAAGGGAAGTTTAGAGAAAAAAGAATAAAAAGAAATGAGCAAAGCCTCCAAGAAATATGGGACTATGTGAAAAGACCAAATCTACATCTGATTGGTGTACCTGAAAGTGATGGGGAGAATGGAACCAAGTTGGAAAACACTCTGCAGGATATTATCCAGGAGAACTTCCCCAATCTAGCAAGGCAGGCCAACGTTCAGATTCAGGAAATACAGAGAACACCACAAAATACTCCTCGAGAAGAGCAACTCCAAGACACATAATTGTCAGATTCCCCAAAGTTGAAATGAAGGAAAAAATGTTAAGGGCAGCCAGAGAGAAAGGTCGGGTTACCCTCAAAGGGAAACCCATCAGACTAACAGCGGATCTCTTGGTAGAAACCCTACAAGCCAGAAGAGAGTGGGGGCCAATATTCAACATTCTTAAAGAAAAGAATTTTCAACCCAGAATTTCATATCCAGAAAACAAAAAAAGGCAGGGGTTGCAATCCTAGTCTCTGATAAAACAGACTTTAAACCAACAAAGATCAAAAGAGACAAAGAAGGCCATTACATAATGGTAAAAGGATCAATTCAACAAGAAGAGCTAACTATCCTAAATATATATGCACCCAATACAGGAGCACCCAGATTCATAAAGCAAGTCCTGAGTGACCTACAAAGAGACTTAGACTCCCACACATTAATAATGGGAGACTTTAACACCCCACTGTCAACATTAGACAGATCAATGAGACAGAAAGTCAACAAGGATACCCAGGAATTGAACTCAGCTCTGCACCAAGTGGACCTAATAGACATCTATAGAACTCTCCACCCCAAATCAACACAATATACATTTTTTTCAGCACCACACCACACCTATTCCAAAATTGACCACATAGTTGGAAGTAAAGCTCTCCTCAGCAAATGTAAAAGAACAAATTATAACAAACTATCTCTCAGACCACAGTGCAATCAAACTAGAACTCAGGATTAAGAATCTCACTCAAAACCACTCAACTACATGGAAACTGAACAACCTGCTCCTGAATGACTACTGGGTACATAATGAAATGGAGGCAGAAATAAAGATGTTCTTTGAAACCAATGAGAACAAAGACACAACATACCAGAATCTCTGGGACGCATTCAAAGCAGTGTGTAGAGGGAAATTTATAGCACTAAATGCCCACAAGAGAAAGCAGGAAAGATCGAAAATTGACACCCTAACATCACAATTAAAAGAACTAGAAAAGCAAGAGCAAACACATTCAAAAGCTAGCAGAAGGCAAGAAATAACTAAAATCAGAGCAGAACTGAAGGAAATAGAGACACAAAAAACCCTTCAAAAAATTAATGAATCCAGGAGCTGGTTTTTTGAAAGGATCAACAAAATTGATAGACCGCTAGCAAGACTAATAAAGAAAAAAAGAGAGAAGAATCAAATAGACGCAATAAAAAATGATAAAGGGGATATCACCACCGATCCCACAGAAATACAAACTACCATCAGAGAATACTACAAACACCTCTACGCAAATAAACTAGAAAATCTAGAAGAAATGGATAAATTCCTCAACACATACACTCTCCCAAGACTACACCCGGAAGAAGTTGAATCTCTGAATAGACCAATAACAGGATCTGCAATTGTGGCAATAATCAATAGTTTACCAACCAAAAAGAGTCCAGGACCAGATGGATTCACAGCCGAATTCCACCAGAGGTACAAGGAGGAACTGGTACCATTCCTTCTGAAACTATTCCAATCAATAGAAAAAGAAGGAATCCTCCCTAACTCATTTTATGAGGCCAGCATCATTCTGATACCAAAGCCGGGCAGAGACACAACCAAAAAAGAGAATTTTAGACCAATATCCTTGATGAACATTGATGCAAAATTCCTCAATAAAATACTGGCAAAACGAATCCAGCAGCACATCAAAAAGCTTATCCACCATGATCAAGTGGGCTTCATCCCTGGGATGCAAGGCTGGTTCAACATACGCAAACCAATAAATGTAATCCAGCATATAAACAGAGCCAAAGACAAAAACCACATGATTATCTCAATAGATGCAGAAAAGGCCTTTGACAAAATTCAACAACCCTTCATGCTAAAAACTCTCAATAAATTAGGTATTGATGGGACGTATTTCAAAATAATAAGAGCTATCTATGACAAACCCAGGGCCAATATCATACTGAATGGGCAAAAACTGGAAGCATTCCCTTTGAAAACTGGCACAAGACAGGGATGCCCTCTCTCACCACTCCTATTCAACGTAGTGTTGGATGTTCTGGCCAGGGCAATCAGGCAGGAGAAGAAAATAAAGGGTATTCAATTAGGAAAAGAGGAAGTCAAATTGTCCCTGTTTGCAGACGACATGATTGTATATCTAGAAAACCCCATTGTCTCAGCCCAAAATCTCCTTAAGCTGATAAGCAACTTCAGCAAAGTCTCAGGATACAAAATCAATGTACAAAAATCAAAAGCATTCTTATACACCAACAACAGACAAACAGAGAGCCAAATCATGAGTGAACTCCCATTCACAATTGCTTCAAAGAGAATAAAATACCTAGGAATCCAACTTACAAGGGATGTGAAGGACCTCTTCAAGGAGAACTACAAACCACTGCTCAATGAAATAAAAGAGGATACAAACAAATGGAAGAACATTCCATGCTCATGGGTAGGAAGAATCAATATTGTGAAAATGGCCATACTGCCCAAGGTAATTTACAGATTCAATGCCATCCCCATCAAGCTACCAATGACTTTCTTCACAGAATTGGAAAAAACTACTTTAAAGTTCATATGGAACCAAAAAAGAGCCCACATCGCCAAGTCAATCCTAAGCCAAAAGAACAAAGCTGGAGGCATCACACTACCTGACTTCAAACTATACTACAAGGCTACAGTAACCAAAACAGCATGGTACTGGTACCAAAACAGAGATATAGATCAATGGAACAGAACAGAGCCCTCAGAAATAACGCCGCATATCTACAACTATCTGATCTTTGACAAACCTGACAAAAACAAGCAATGGGGAAAGGATTCCCTATTTAATAAATGGTGCTGGGAAAACTGGCTAGCCATATGTAGAAAGCTGAAACTGGATCCCTTCCTTACACCTTATACAAAAATCAATTCAAGATGGATTAAAGACTTAAACGTTATACCTAAAACCATAAAAACCCTAGAAGAAAACCTAGGCAGTACCATTCAGGACATAGGCATGGGCAAGGACTTCATGTCTAAAACACCAAAAGCAATGGCAACAAAAGCCAAAATTGACAAATGGGATCTAATTAAACTAAAGAGCTTCCACACAGCAAAAGAAACTACCATCAGAGTGAACAGGCAACCTACAGAATGGGAGAAAATTTTCGCAACCTACTCATCTGACAAAGGGCTAATGTGCGGAATCTACAATGAACTCAAACAAATTTACAAGAAAAAAACAAACAACCCCATCAAAAAGTGGGTGAAGGACATGAACAGACACTTCTCAAAAGAAGCCATTTATGCAGCCAAAAGACACATGAAAAAATGCTCATCATCACTGGCCATCAGAGAAATCCAAATCAAAACCACAATGAGATACCCTCTCACACCAGTTAGAATGGCAATCATTAAAAAGTCTGGAAACAACAGTTGCTGGAGAGGATGTGGAGAAATAGGAACACTTTTACACTGTTGGTGGGACTGTAAACTAGTTCAACCATTGTGGAAGTCAGTGTGGCAATTCCTCAGGGATCTAGAACTAGAAATACCATTTGACCCTGCCATCCCATTACTGAGTATATACCCAAAGGACTATAAATCATGCTGCTATAAAGACACATGCACACATATGTTTATTGCAGCATTATTCACAATAGCAAAGACTTGGAACCAACCCAAATGTCCAACAATGATAGACTGGATTAAGAAAATGTGGCACATATACACCATGGAATACTATGCAGCCATAAAAAAGGATGAGTTCATGTCCTCTGTAGGGACATGGATGAAATTGGAAATCATCATTCTCAGTAAACTATCGCAAGAACAAAAAACCAAACACCGCATATTCTCACTCATAGGTGGGAATTGAACAATGAGATCACATGGACACAGGAAGGGGAACATCACACTCTGGGGACTGTGGTGGGGTGGGGGGAGGGGGGAGGGATAGCATTGGGAGATATACCTAATGCTAGATGACGAGTTAGTGGGTGCAGCGCACCAGCATGGCACATGTATACATATGTAACTAACCTGCACAATGTGCACATGTACCCTAAAACTTAAAGTATAATAAAAAAAAAAAAAAAGAAAGTTTATTTTACCAAAGTTAAGGACACACCCATTCCACAGCCTCAAGAGGTCCTGATGACATGTGCCCAAGGTGGTTGTGATACAGCTTGCTTTTATACATTTTAGGGAGATGTGAGACATCAATCAATATGCATAAGGTGTACATTGGTTCAGTCAGGTAAGGTGGGACAATTCTAAGTGGATAATGGTGGGGGCCTTCCAGGTCATAGGTAGATAAGAAACAAAAGGCTGTGTTCTTTTGAGTCCTTGATCAGCCTTTCACTGAATACACAATACACAGTGTATTCACTGAATACACTGGCTCAGTGAATCTGCATTTTTACATAAATAGGGCAGAAGAAGCAGTCAGATATGCATTTGCCTCAGGTGAGCAGAGCGATGACAATTTGTACCTGTGAAGATAAGTTGTGAAATTCAACAGAACTGTTTTAGGGTAAAGATCTTGAGGTCTACAGTGAATTTCCTTGTCGGCAAATTGTGAGGGAGGTAACTCATATTTTTAGCTATCTTATTTAGGAATTAAAATGGGAGACAAGTTTGCCTGATGTAGTTCCCAGTTTGACTTTTCCCTTGGCTTAGTGATTTTGGGGTCCCAAGATTTATTTTCCCTTCACAGTACAAAGTCCAAATGCAGGAGATCAATGAATTAGGAAAGCCACAATTAAAGTAACTGGTGAACCAAGTACAAGGTGGACTGGAGAAGTTCCACTGACAAAGGGCACCTATCTGGGACAGCCTTCTCCATAGACTGATGGGGCATTTAGAGCATGAATGAGTGACTTGGAGTTTTGCCCCCGAACTCCAGCTCAGTGGTCTGAACCCTACTACCACTGACAAACTTTTGTGATATTGACTCTCAACCAGACTAGAAATGAAGGGTATTTCTCATTCTTAGATTTTTCCATCAGGACACTCTACAAATTTCATTTAGAAGTCTAGGATCATTTGTCACACTCTTTGGACATCAAGCTCTGTCTGTTGCCACCTGAGTGGTTGGGACTTACCTAGCTCGGGCTATGACTAGACTGCTTCATCCTGTTGCAGTTGAGGGATACATACAAAGAGTCAGAAATGTGACAAAACTTCCAAGAACAGGAGAGGGCATATCACATTTTATAAATCACGACGTCTGTGAGTAAAAGTCTTTGTGTATCATGTTCTGAATATAGACATTCTTGGAATCTCAAAGGTGGTCATTTAGATCAAATCAAAGTAGAGGTGACCTTCAAACAACATGGGTTTGAACTGTGCATGTTCACTTATATGTGGTACCTCTGCCACCCATAAGACAGCAAGAGCAACCCCTCCTCTTCCTCCTACTCAGCCTACTCAACACGAACACGATGAGGATGAAGACCTTTGTGATGATCCACTTCCACTTACTGAATAGAAAGTGTATTTTCTCTTCCTTATGATTTTCTTAATAATATTTTCTTTTCTCTAACTTACTTTATTATAAGAATGCAGTATTTAATACATATACCATATAAAATATGTATTAATTGGCTATGTATATTATCAATAAGGTTTCCAGTCAACAGCAGGCTACTAATAGTTAGGTTTTTGGGAAGTCAAAACTTATACGCAGACTTTTGACGGCACAGGGGTTGGCATCCCTAATCCCCACGTTGTTCAAGGGTCGATTGTACTATTTTTTGCCTAAAGTAGTTATGTAAAAACTACCAGCAAAAATTTTATCCGAGTTGGTGGTCTTGGATCCATTATATAAGAAGACATTCATGAAGGATCTGAGCGAATCCAGGTATGAAAGCTCTATAATAGATTATTAAGAGAAATTAGGGAATATTCTTAGTATTACAATAGGTTGATGTCCTAAAGGACAACTGCATATGGACTTTTCCTTTTTGTGTATGTAACTAACTCCCTCCGTCAGTGCATGTGGACTTTAGTGGACTTTTTGGAAGGAAGGATATATCTCAGCACCCATTTTCCCTTCCTGAGGGCAGCTTTATTTCACGTAGGGGAATTATTTCTCCCAGGGATAAGCAGTCTTGGTGGCACTAAATGTGATCAGGACCTTTGCTGCCTTTCCCCAGCAAAGGAGTGTGTGATTTCATTTGGGACAATAGGAATTTCTCTCCTGGTACTTTGAATTGCCAGCAAGCTGAATTAAGACAAGGAAGACAATTTTTGAGCTTTTCATTCTAAAGAGAAGCCCAGAGAGGATCCTGCTGGCTAGATATCTGGAAGCTGTTCTAAGACTTGTCTTGGTTCTTCAGTTGTCTAATCTCCCATCCACTCTGACAGTTACTACAAAACTCCCGCTGCTTCTTGTTAACTGCAACAAAAAGAATCTCAACTGATATGCCCTCTGCAAAGTAGTATACAGTTAAGGCATGGCTGATGTCTGCTCTTGCACTGACTTGGTTTGTGATTTTGAGAAACTTTATTAGCCTCACTGAGCCTTAGCATCTTTACCTGTAGAATGAGAAACAAAGCCCTCTTTCCAGGTTGTCAATGGAATTAAGTGAATATTTATGTGAAAGCCTCCTAGCTTACCTAGAAAGAAAATCTGCGAATTTCCCTGTCAAAGTGGTTCATTAACAATGAAAAATTAGGCCGGGCGCGGTGGCTCATGTCTGTAATCCCAGCACTTTGGGAGGCCAAGGCGGGTGGATCACGATGTCAGGAGTTCGAGACCAGCTTGGCCAACATGGTGAAACCCTGTCTCTACTAAAAATACAAAAACTAGCTGGGCATAATAGCGCATGCCTGTAATCCCAGCTACTCGGGAGGCTGAGGCAGGAGAATCACTTGAACCAGGGAGTCGGAGGTTGCAGTGAGCCGAGATCGTGCCACTGCACTCCAGCCTGGCAGCAGAGGGAGACTCGGTCTCAAAAACAAAACAGAACAAACAATGAAAAATTGGTAATTTGGCTAAAGGTGCCAAGATGGAATGTCAGGCAATCACTTAAAATCAGAGATTTTGTAAAGAAAGTTATACTTAATAGTCAAAATACATTTCCCCCTTATTACTGTGCTTGGCAGAGGTCAGAATTAGATTTCCATGGGTATATTAATCCTGACAATACTTCTTCTTTGTTGGCAATAAAGGTAACAAAGTTTCCTATATGAATATTTAAGAAAAGGGCTGGGCATGTTGGCTTTGGGAGATGAGGTGGGAGGATTGCTTGAGGTCAGGAGTTTGAAACCAGCCTGGGGAACAGAGTGAGACACTGTCTCTATAAAAATTTTTAAAAATTAGCCAAACATGGTGGTGCATACTTGTAGTCCCAGCTCCTTGGGAGGCTGAGGCAGGAGGATTGCATGAGCCCCGGAGTTCCAGGCTGCAGTGGGCTATGATCACACCACTGCACTCCATCCTGGGTGATACAGTGAGACCCTGTAGAAAGAAGAAAGGAAGGAAAGAAAGAAGGAAGGAAGGGAGGGAGGGAGGAAGGGAGGGAAGGAAGGGAAGAGAAGGGAAAGGAAAGGAAAGGAAAGGAAAGGAAAGGAAAGGAAAGGAAAGGAAAGGAAAGGAAAGGAAAGGAAGGGAAGGGAAGGGAAGGGAAGGGAAGGGAAGGGAAGGGAAGGGAGGAAGGAAGGAAGGAAGGAAGGAAGGAAGGAAGGAAGGAAGGAAGGAAGGAAGCACATCTCTGTTTACAATGCTGCTTTACATAAGTGTTACTTTTCCATCTGAAGTAAGGAATAGACAATACCGGTTTACCAAAAAAATAATTTTTTTTGAGCACTCATATCACACAGAACTGGCCTTTTCCTGGAACAATTAGAATCATACCTGGACGGTTGCACCGTCTCTGGTTTACCAATGCTTTGTTTGGGTTAATATGCTGCAGGAGCTTCAAATCGTACATGAATTCTTGCTATTGACCAGGAAAGTAGGAAAGCAAGTTGGCTTCTTTTGATCACTCTCCTAAAAGTGAGAATTTTAAAATTATGCATTGGTGTAACAGTAAATTTTTAAAACAAAGAACAGTAAAGAGTATCCTATAAAGGGACCCAGCTCTGTGCTAGATAACATAGAGCAGTGGGTCATGGAGCCTGGTTGTGCCCTACCCCACCTCTGTTCCCACTCCATCAAGCAGGAGGAGAAGAGCATGATACAAAACTGGCCTTCTTTACCTGTGATCCACCTGGACTGAGTGAGCACATTTATTTACAAAAATGTGTGCAGGCCAGGTGCGGTGGCTCACACATGTAATCCCAGCACTTTGGGAGGCCGAGGCAGGCAGATCATGAGGTCAAGAGATGAAGACCATCCTGGCCAACATGGTGAAACCCCGTCTCCACTAAAAATACAAAAAAATTGGCTGGGCATAGTGGCACGCGCCTGTAGTCTCAGCTACTTGGGAGGCCGAAGCAGGAGAATTGCTCAAACCTGGGAGGTGAAGGTTGCAGTGAACCAAGATCACGCCACTACACTCCAGCCTGGCGACAGAGTGAGACTCCATCAAAAAAGAAAGAAAGAAGGAAAGAAAGAAATGAAAGGAAGGAAGGAAGAAAAGAAGGAAGGAAGGAAGGAAGGAAGGAAGGAAGGAAGGAAGGAAGGAAGGAGGGAAGGAAATGTGTGCAAACTGAACAGTCCATAGGTCCTGGACAAAGGAGAAAAATAGAAGAGCCCAACCACTGCTTTAAGGAAACATTTTTCAAAGTGTCATGTGAGATTTATTCTGCAACCAAATCATCTTGAAATTGTATTTTGTAAAAAAGTGTATATGTGGGATTCACCTCAATTGAACGAATCAGAATCCCTGCTACTAAGATCTTAAGAGACTCTTCTGCTGAACTCAAGTTTAAGAAACACTGACCTGGGGACCTCAGAAATCTAATTCCTTGCCTTCTCCAATCTACCTTCTAGTCAAGAGAAAACTAGAAGAAACAATGCATTTAGTAAATAATTATAGATTCAGTGTTATGAGACCTAAAATGCGAGAGAGAATTCTGGATGGAAAGGGATGAACAAGAGACTCTTATTAATTGCAAAAATATGTTTTCCCCCAATAATACATGTCTCACTTAGTGGTCATCATCTGGCCACTGGAAGCCAGCACAGAACATTTCCTCCCCATAAACAGCATTGATCAGCACAGTGATTTTTGAAATTTGAATTATCTATGAGCATTTTAGACATAAAAAGATATGGAGTCCTTCCTGAAAAGTCAGATCGGCAATAATTGGTTATCACTGAGTAGTAGACACCCCCTTTAGATGGGTATTTGCAGTTGATTTTACAATATCCCCAACATTCTCTCTTCTCCCCATGAGAGTGCCACTTGACATTTATCAATAAGCTTATGCTGGTTTTGTTGCTGTTCAATTAAGAAGAAAGTAAAAGAGCAACACGAGAAAGATGGTGGAGCAAGAGCAAAGAAAAACTCCTTTGGTTCTAGAAAATCTCCTGAAAAAGAGGAAGGCTTATCAAGCCCGCAAAGCCACCCAGGCAAAGCAGGCAGTTTGGCAAAGAAGGAGCAGAGGAAAGGAAAAGGGCTCCGATTTAAACGACTGGAATCATTCCTACATGATTCCTGGTGGCAGAAACGTGACGAGGTGTGTCTCAGGTGACTAGTAGTAAAACCCCACATCTTGGAATTGCCAAATAAACATTCCTTGGCCTTTGCTGTACACATAGAAAGGACTGATAGCGTGAGTTTACTGCTGCAGAGAACCATTGCAAGACTTCGCCTGAAGAAAATTTTTAGTGTTGTCTTTGTAAAAGTCACCCCCTAGAACCTAAAAATGCTGTGTATAGTGGAACCTTATGTGACCTGGGGATTTCCAAATCTGAAGTGTGTCCGGGAACTCACTTTGAAACATGGACAAGCCAAGGTCAAGAATAAGACCATCCCTCTGACACACAACACAGTGATTGAGGAGCACCTGGGGAAGTTTGGCTCATTTGTTTGGAAGACCTCATTCATGAAACTGCCCTCCCAGGGAAGCATTTCCAGGAGATCTCATGGTTCTTGCGCCCTATCCACCTCTCAGTGGCCCATCATGCTACCCAAAATAGAGTGGGCTTCCTCAAGGAGATGGGCACACCTGGCTATCAGGGTGAATGCATCAATCAGCTCATCCACCAGCTGAACTAGACCCAGGTGCCAAACTGCAGTAAATTTTTATCAATGAAGTAGAAGCATGTGTTTTTGTGTTTTGGGAGGAAATTTTTATCAAGTATCTTCAGAGATTATTTCCTGCTTTATCTTCAAAAACTGGAAAGGAAGGGTCAAAGAAAAGACAATAGATGGCCAGCTGTGGTGGCTCACATCTGTAATCCCAGCACTTTGGGAGGCTGAGGCGGGCGGATCACCTGAGGTTGGGAGTTCGAGACTAGCCTGACCGACATGGAGAAACCCTGTCTCTACTAAAAATACAAAAATTAGCCGGGCGTGGTGGAGCATGCCTGTAATCCTAGCTACTCGGGAGACTGAGGCAGGAGAATCGCTTGAACCCGGGAGGTGGAGGTTGTGGTGAGCCGAGATCGCACCACTGCATTCCAGCCCTGGCAACAAGAGTGAAACTCAGTCTTGAAAAAAAAAAAAAAAAGAAGACAGTAGCTTATGTTCATGGCAAGCACCTCTCTTCACAGTCCAGTTCCAAGGAAAAATGCCAGCGTTTTCTACATTGGCTGCCGCCTCGTCTGAAATCAGCACATTCCATGGAGGAAGGCGATCTGCTTTGTTGCATCTTCTATCCCAGGGTTTAATGTTGGTAACTGAGTAACTCTAGCTTTTGTACAAGAGTCCCTAAGACTCCTGCAGTAGTCGACCAAGCCCAGGGACATAATTGAATCTGGAGATTCCTGGGGCCTTGTTTTGAAAAAGACTTGAAATACACGTAGGGAGAAAGGCACAAAAATAAATGTTCACTTGTCTCTGCAAAAGAAGAAAAAGAAGAAGAAGAAGAAGAAAGTAAAAGATTATCATTTAGGGGTTGCCATTCATTACCCGCATGGCCCTGGCCCCTGGAAGCATTTGAGTTTGAAAACTCAAGCAATGTTTAAGGAACCCCTAATCCCAGCCATCCTGACCCCACTGTTTGCAAAATCTAGACAGATGAGATTACTTTGTCAGAAACGAAGGCTTTCCATTTTGTATAATTTTGCCCATAAGCAGCATTCTTTATCAAAACTCTTGGAGTGCAATTCAGAGGAGGCATTTGAATACATGAAATCATCTATTCGACAGAGGGGGAAAACACTACCTCTAAAAATGTCTTCCAGCATGTTGAAAAAGCACTCAATTTGGAGGCAACAAAGCCAAGCCAATATTGACTGCACAAACAATAGGGTACTTCTTTTCAGATCAAGCAAGACATGCATACATAGGAAACTTTCAAAATAGAATTTTCGCAATCTGCTAGTGAAATAATTTAAGAAGTATGCATAACATTTTACATTTTATAAAATGACATTATACTACTACTTTCTATGTTCACAGCAACCCTGCAGAGGTTATATTACTATCTCATTGTATAGATCAGGACTCTTCTATTTAGTAGTGAACTGATTTATGTAAGGTCAAATGGTACTAACCACTACTAACCAGCAAAGCTGGAGTCAGACATAGTTCTTTTGACCTAAATGTATTATTCTCTCCAATACAAAACAACCACATTCCATTATTTGCCTCTCACTAAAATTTCAGAAATATATGCATAAAAATAAAGCCAGAAGGGATATAGCACTGCAAATCATACTAACCATCAGGAGACATCTCACATCCCAGGCACTCAGATCTTTATTTCCCCCAAACAAAATAGAGAAATAAAAAGATAACTACTTTAAACAATTTTTCTTCCTGTTCAGGTTTTAAAAACAATGTTTTTGTTTTTATGTTCTAGATGATTAGTCAAGATATTTACTAGAGGCAATGAAAGGTCACGGAAATACTTACGCTACAGACAAGTTCATTGAAAATTTCAACAAGGAAGTGTGTATAGACACAGCCTATTAAAGCTGAAAGAGATTCTAAAATTGTGTAACCTGATTCTCTTATTTCTAGATGAGGATGCGGAGCCCAGAAAAATGGCACTATTTCTAAAGCTGACATGTAAACCCCCAGTCTCCAAAACCCTAAGAGTGTACCTTTCTCATTAATTTCTGAGTTCATCCTTTTTGTTCATATTATAACTGTGATCTTTTCTCCCTTCATATTTTCTGTTTGGGAAGCGATTTCTTTGTAATAATTGGCCTGTTAGAGTTTATTTCTCTTCTGGTGTTCACCTTTGTATAAGAGTTATTGTTAAGTAATATATGGTAACTTAGTGGCAGTGAAACCACCACTCAAACCAAAATCTAGGGCCTTGTCCAAAACATGCTACAAATGAACATACACTCCTCTCCGTCCAATCTGTCCATACCACTTTATACACAATCTCTCCTTATGCTGAATCTTATATTCAGTCTTGCTGCCCTCTATATATGGGTCTATTGCATCTGTGTGTGCTCCTAAAAAGTTTGCATGTGTGTCTGGAAATAAACCATTAGATTAAGAATATTCACTTTTTAGTTTTTATTTTTTGTTTTGTTTTGTTTTGCTCATCTCTTTTCTTCTTCTCACACTCTAACAATGATATCTTCAAACAGTAATTAACTTTCTGCATTTCTCTCTAGCAGCTCTTTTTTTCACAGACTTGATTCCCTCAGGCTTCAAACTCCAGAACCTTCACCTCTCACTTGGATTCCGATGATGCTATAGTAGATTTCTAATCTCTACCCACCTCTAATGACATCATCTTAATTGCTTATGTAATTGGACATTGTTCTTTGAATTCAGAATTTTTAAAGCTAGTAGTTACATAAGCAGAATATGCAGGTACAAAAAAAGAAATAAAGTTACTAAATATATACTCTAAAGAAATCAAGGTGGCCTAGCACAGTGGCTCACGGTTGTAATCCCAGCACTTTGGGAGGCCAAGGTGGGTGGATCATGAGGTCAGGAGTTTGAGACCAGCCTGGCCAAGGTGGTGAAACCCCGTCTCTACTAAAAATACAAAAATTAGCCTGGCGTGGTGGTGGGCACCTGTAATCCCAGCTACTCAGGAGGCTGAGGCAGGAGAATCACTTGAACCCAGGAGGCTGAGGTTGCAGTGAGCCGAGATCGCGCCACTGTACTCCAGCCTGGGCAACAAGAGTGAGACTGCATCTCAAACAAACAAATAAAAAAATTAAGGTTTGACTAGGAAAAATTAAATAGCAGAGTTAATATTTAAGTTGGAGGAAGAACCTCATGGAGAAGAGCCACCATTCCAGGCACAGAAAACAGAAATCTGGACTTTTACATGACAATTATTTTTACCTTATCTAAGCTACAGTTACTTGAGCTCTTTCTATTTCTTATCTCTGAACCTAATTATAGCTAAAATGTTGGTTTCTGTGGGCCATAAAATAATAATGGCTAACATGAACTGCTTATTTATTAGTTTCCAAGACAGGTGTGAAGAACCAAACATCTATTATCTCATTTAATCTTCATACAACTCTCTGAGTTGGTTGCCACTATCATTCTCATTTTAGATAAAGCTTTTTCTTTTAAAGCACCTGGTTCAGGGTCCTAGAGTCAGAAAGTGATTGAGCTAGGATTCCACTCTTAACCACATCTCCATTCTTCTCTCTCTCACAGGTACTTCATAACAACATATGGACTGCTATGTTATTAAATTATAAACCACTAATCTGTTAGATAAACTGACTTTCTAAAAAGACTTTCTAATTACTTTATTTCGGTTACTGAAGGATCCAGTGAAAAGAACAAAGATCTTTTCACTCAGGGCCCAGATCCAGCCGTAGCAGGGTTTTCTGTCCCTTACCTACTGAATTTAAAAACGTTCAGGCCTGAGGACTTTTTGTAACTGGTCCTTCAGATGTAAATAGCAGTGTTTACCCTCTTGTATCACATAAAGATGATGAGAGGATTTGTTTTATGGTTCAGAGAAGTATTGAAGCACAACTTTTCAATGCTTATGGTAATTTTTACCAGTGAGGAATTGCTTCTGTCTGTTTGCATTGTGACCTGACTATAGTGGTCTATAAATTAGGGCTGTTTTTTGTTAGGTGGCAAAAAGGAACTCATCCCAGCTGAATCAGGCCCTTTTAAGGAATTTCCAGGAAGCCCCATCCAACAACATTCCTCATACATTTTATTGATTGTCCACCTATAAATGCAAGGAAAGTTCAGAAATGCAGCTTGGTATATGGCTGTCATTAGCTTGGTATATAGCTGTCATTAGCTTGGTATATGGCTGTCCCAAATACAATCTGTTGCTAAGGTAGAGAAGGAAGAGAGACTGGGAAAGCAACCAGCAGTCTCGGCCAAAGGAATAACTACCATGGGTAGAGTGCACAGACACTTCACTGTTGATTCTGCTTAACCCTACATCTAGACCTTCATGGGAGTGTGGATGGTTTCAACTAACATGCAACACAACACACTTTTGTCTTTTGAAGGTCAGAATATCAGGCAGAGAATAAAAGAGTGAAGACCCTGGAAGATGCTGGAATGTCTGCTTCCAGTTCAGGAGATGATGGACTCCTTTATTCATCTAGTTGGACTTCTTTTGAGTATTAATTGGGGTAACAGTTTTGTTATTAGAAAAGGGAACTTTTTCACCTTGGTTCTGATGCTGCACTGAAAACCTGATGATTTTATTGTTTTTAGATGGCCCTATTGAAAGCAACACAAGGAAAATACTTAGCATGTAAATCCCTTTCTTTTTCATTTGAAAATAACATCAGTTATTGCATCATCTGAAAAGAAGTAATCTCTTACAGTTAATCAATGTCATTGCCTTTGAATATTCAATTCCTGTCAACACAGAATTTGAAACTTCAATTAAGTTGTATTAGTTAATGATTATCAGGCCTACTAAATGACCTTCTGTAACCTGTTATCTGGGGAAATGGAAACAAAGGGATCTTTCCAGTAATTGCAGTCATTGAAATGATTTAATATATGCTTAGAATTGAAAAAATTTAAATATGTTCATATATGATAATATGCAAATTTAGATGATTAAAATAATGCAGTTGCATCAATAATATGGGATTATCATTAACTTTTGTAAGCCTTAATGCCATTAGTTTAGATAAATTTAAAATCCCTCTAAAAGTCAAGCCTTCCTTACATTTGGCCATCAATCAAACACTTCCTTCTGGGTTCTCCATCTTGGAAACAGACATCAGCCTTCTTCCAGGTATCCAAGCCAGAAGCATGTTAACAGAATAACCAAATTCTGTAAAATATTTAAAGAGATTTACTCTGAGCCAATATGAGTGACCATGCCCCAGGGTACAGTCTCAAGCTATCTTGAAAAAGTATAACCAAGGCAGTCAGGTTACCATTTTGCTTTATGCATTTTAGGAAGACAAGAATTATAAGTAAATTCATAAATCAATACATGAAAGGTATACATGGGTTCAGCCTAAAGAGGCAAGATATGTTGAAGTTGGGGGGTGGGAGGAGAGGTGAGGGGTTGGGTGAGGGGGCTTACAGGTCATAGGTGGATTCAAAGATTTTCTAATTGGCAGTTGGTTGAAAGAGTTAAGCTTTGTCTAAAGATCTGAAGTCTGTAGGAAGAAATGTTTGAGTTAAGATAAGGGGCGGGTTGTGGAGACCAATGTTGTAATAAGATCATAATATAGATGAAGACTCCAGATAGCAGCCTTCAGAGAGAATAGATGGTAAATGTCTCTCTTCAGAACTTTAAGGTGTCAGACTCTCATTTAATCTCTCCTAGATCCAGGAAAGACCTAGAAAGGGAAGTTCTGGCTGCATTAATGAAGATTCTTTACAGATGCAGGTTTCCTCCACAAGACATGGCTTTGCAGGACATTTCAAAATATGTCAAAGAAATATATTTAGGGGTAAAATATTTTCATTTCCTTCAGGGTGTGCTATCTGTCATGTGATGCTATACCAGAGTCAGGTTGGAATTTGATATCTTATTGACAAAAAGAGTCTGTTTTGTCAGTCTTTCACTATTTCAGTGTTAATGCTGGTCAATTGTGCCTAAACCCCAAAAGGGAGAGGGTATGACTTCATTATTCATCATGGACAGGAATGCAGTTTTTCACGTTTTCCTGGGGTCCCCTTGACCAAGAGGGGGTCAGTTCAGTAGGTGGGGAGGCTTAGGATTTTATTTTTGGTTAACAAGCCTGAGAACCAACCTAGACTGTTTCCTTTTCCCTCATGCCCACCCCCATCTAGCTAGTTACTTTGTCCTGAGGATTCCACCTTCCTGGTACTAATTGCACCTGCTCTGTACTTTCCTTTTCCAGGCCACTTTTCTGGTTAAGTCCTTGTCATCTCTTATCTGACAAGGTTTCAGCAAGAGTCTCTGATGGGGTCCCTCTGCCCACAATTTCAACTCATTCAACCCATTCAAATCCTGTAGAGTTCCAGAGATATTTCTAAATTACAAATCTGAACTTGTCACTACTCTCTTGTTGAAAATCCTTTATGGCTCTACAATTTCCAGGATAAAAGCCAGTCTCTTTGGCTTAGCCTTTGAGGTCCTTTTTGTCCTTGCTTTTGCCTGTCACTCTAATCTTATCCCTGTCACACCCTTATACACATCCTTGCTCCAACCTCACTGAACAACTAATTACTCCCTACGTATGTCATGCTGTTTACTACCTCCATGACATTTCAGTTCGTTCCCTCTAAAATTCCCCTGGAATCCCTTCCATTCTCTTCCTTAATTCTTTAGCATCTTCATCTTGTCCTTCCAAACTGCTCAAGTGCTACCCTTCAGAGAAGCCCTCTTTTCCTACCTGTCTCATTTAGCTGCCCAGCCTCTGTGCTTCTAAATTATTCCGCACAACTCTAGAAATAAGTCACTCTACTTGACCACTTGAAACTCCTTCATCTACTTGGGTCTCACCACTAATAAAGAAAGAGCTCCTGGAGGACAAGAGCTATTTTTTTTCTCTCTTTTATATTCCTAGAGCCCAGCACAGTGTCTGTCACAGAGTGGATGCTGAATAAAACTTTAGTAAGCAACATAAGGAAAGAATCACAGAGTTTGGAATATTAAGCAGTATCAGTTTTTACAAGTACCCACATTAGCATACTCAAAAAAAAAAAACAGCTTCTGCCGTGCCACATCCCAGCCACCTTTCACTCATCTCTTACTGTTTGCGACTAACACTGACATAGTGAAGAACACATCCTCGTTCTCAACAATTCTACTGGGGGAAGAAAATGAAGCACCTTTTTTAACCTTTTGATTACATTTGAAACACAGAAGAACTTGAAAAGGAATGGAAATTACCCAAAACAAGTGCTGCTCCTCCCTTCTCACATTTATGGCAGACATAACTATCTGATAAGAGCACTCTATTCTCTGAGATATCAGAACTAGTCTCCTATTATCCCATGAGACAGCCATGACTAATCAGTCAGCATGTGCTCTCCCTGAACTAGATTAATAGGTATGTGTGACATAGAAATACAAAACTATTGGAGGGGAGATGGGGAGCAGGTTAGCACATGGGTCCCTCTAGACTGGGATAGTGGCAAGTGCCCCTTCCATCTTCAGAATGTCTCCCCTGTTCCTTCTGGGGAATGTCCTTGCCTACTCCAAACACAGGGCTTGAATGGATGCTGGCTTTTCTCATAGGCAAGCAGTGGGCACTAGACTAAAGGTGACTTAATTATAATTGTTTTCTGCTATTTTAAAACTCAACACTATTAGTGTCACTATCAGTGTTGAGTTTTAAAATAGCAGAGGCAAAGTGAAATGGGTATAATCTAGTAGTAGTATTAGGTTGGTGCAAAAGTAATGCAGTTTTTGTCATTACTTTTAATGGCATTGCCATTACTTCTAATTTGCCATTACTTTTAGTGGCAAAACCGCAATTCGTTTTTCACCAACCTAATATAATCAAGTCATTGTGTAGAAGTATAATCAAGGAGAGTGAGGCTCAGGAACCGTTGGTCACCATTTTTACCTCCATGTTGACAAATCACTCTGCCACAGGAGAGAAACCAGGGGTGAAAAAGAGCAAGTCTTGAAGGTTATTAGTGATCAAGACTCTAAGCCCCAAAGCAGGCATCACATGTCAGCTCTTCCCACAGATAGTGGCTTGTCCTAAAATCTTTCCAATATGCCTCTGCTGACCTTAAACTGATTCAAGTTAGTTATCTGTAACTTGTAGCCCAAAGAATTCTGACTAATTCAAAACTGTAATACCTAGGACCTTAATATTTGTAGAATCAGCAGGACTTAGCCAAGAATTTGTGGCTTTAAAGCTGTTATGAGAAGTATTGTAAAACATTGGCAAACAACATAATTTACCCTTTGCTGCTTTAAGCTAATAGAACAGTGACTGATATGTTAATATTTTTACTTCTGATTATTACAAAACTCTTTTATCTTTTCTGGAAGCACCAGGGTGAAGTGGGATAAAACCCTATACCGGGAGTCAGGTCCCTTAAAGTCCATTTCTGTCCTACCACTAATTAGTTTTGCGATTATTTAGCCCAGCCAGTCTTCAGCCATGCATGTTTTTAAGGGAAGCACAAGACTTCAATGTACCAGATTTTGAAAATATTTGGCAAACATCAGTTTAATGTCTTTAGAATACTTGAATAAGAAAAAGATGAATATTACAGCAGAAAATAAACAAAAGATGTGAACAGGCAATTCATAAAAAGATAAAAATGGTTAATAGAGCTTTGAAATAGGCTTAACCACATTTATCACCAAAGACATACAAGTTAAAATAATGGACATGTGGGGGCGGTTCCAAGATGGCTGAATGGGAACAGCTCCAGTCTACAACTCCCAGCATGAGTGAGGCAGAAGATGGATGATTTCTACATTTCCAACTGAGCCTCCACTGCTGATAACCAGGCAAACAGGGTCTGGAGTGGACCTCCAGCAAACTCCCACAGACCTACAGCTGAGGGTCCTGCCTGTGAGAGGGAAAACTAACAAAGAGAAGGGACATCCACACCAAAACCCCATCTGTACGTCACCATCGTCAAAGACCAAAGGTAGATAAAACCACAAAGATGGGGGAAAAAACAGAGCAGAAAAACTGAAAATTCTAAAAATTGAGTGCCTCTCCTCCTCCAAAGGAATGCAGCTCTTCATCAGCAATGGAACAAAGCTGGAAGGAGAATGACTTTGATGAGTTGAGAGAAGAAGACTTCAGACGATCAAACTTCTCTGAGCTAAAGGAAGAAGTTCGAACCTTTGGCAAAGTAGTTAAAAACCTTGAAAAAAGATTAGACAAATGGCTAACTAGGATAACCAATGCAGAGAAGTCCTTACAGGACCTGATGGAGCTGAAAACCATGGCATGAGAACTACATGACGAATGCACAAGCTTCAGTAGCCGATTCAATCAACTGAAAGAAAGGGTATCAATGATGGAGGATCAAATAAATGAAATGAAGTGAGAAGAGAAGTTTAGAGAAAAAAGAATAAAAAGAAATGAACAAAACCTCCAAGAAATATGGGACTATGTGAAAAGAACAAATCTACTTCTGATTGGTGTACCTGAAAGTGACAGGGAGAATGGAACCAAGTTGGAAAACACTCTGCAAGATATTATCCAGGAGACCTTCCCCAATCTAGCAAGGCAAGCCAACATTCAAATTCAGGAAATACAGAGAATGCCACAAAGTTACTCCTTGAGAAGAGCAACTCCAAGACACATAATTGTCAGATTTACCAAAGTTGAAATGAAGGAAAAAATGTTAAGGGCAGCCAGAGAGAAAGGTTGGGTTACCCACAAAGGGGAAGCCCATCAGACTAACAGCTGATCTCTTGGCAGAAACTCTACAAGCTAGAAGAGAGTGGGGCCAATATTCAACATTCTTAAAGAAAAGAATTTTCAACTCAGAATTTCATATCCAGCCAAACTAAGCTTCATAAGTGAAGGAGAAATAAAATCCTTTACAGACAAGCAAATGCTGAGAGATTTTGTCACCACCAGACCTCCCTTACAAGAGCTCCTGAAGGAAGCACTAAACATGGAAAGGAACAACCGGTACCAGTCACTGCAAAAACATGCCAAATTGTAAAGACCTTCAAGGCTAGGAAGAAACTGCACCAACTAATGAGCAAAATAACCAGCTAACATCATAATGACAGGACCAAATTCACACATAACAATATTAATCTTAAATCTAAATGGGCTAAATGCTCCAATTAAAAGACACAGACTGGCAAATTGGTTAAAGAGTCAAGACCCATCAGTGTGCTGTATTCAGGAAACCCATCTCACATGCAGAGACACATATAGACTCAAAATAAAGGGATGGAGGAAGATCTACCAAGCAAATGGAAAACAAAAAAAGGCTGGGATTGCAATCTTAGTCTCTAATTAAAAACAGACTTTAAACCAACAAAGATCAAAAGAGACAAAGAAGGCCATTACGTAATGGTAAAGGGATCAATTCAACAAGAAGAGCTAACTATCCTAAATATATATGCACCCAATACAGGGGCACCCAGATTCATAAAGCAAGTCCTTAGAGACCTACAAAGAGACTTAGACTCCCACACAATAATAATGGGAGACTTTAACACCCTACTGTCAACATTAGACAGATCAACGAGACAGAAATTAACAAGGATATCCAGGAATTGAACTCAGCTCTGCACCAAGTGGACCTAATAGACATCTACAGAACTCTCCACCCCAAATCAACAGAATACACATTCTTCTCAGCACCACACTGCACTTATTCCAAAATTAACCACATAGTTGGAAGTAAAGCACTACTCAACAAATGTAAAAGAACAGAAATTATAACAAACTGTCTCTAAGACCACAGTGCAATCAAACTAGAATTCAGGATTAAGAAACTCACTCAAAACTGCTCAACTACATGGAAACTGAACAACCTGCTCCTGAATGACTACTGAGTACATAACGAAATGAAGGCAGAAATAAAGATGTTCTTTGAAACCAACGAGAACAAAGACACAACATACCAGAACCTCTGGGACACATTTAAAGCAGTGTGTAGAGGGAAGTTTATAGCACTAAATGCCCACAAGAGAAAGCAGGAAAGATCTAAAATTCACACCCTAACATCACAATTAAAAGAATTAGAGAAGCAAGAGCAAACACATTCAAAAGCTAGCAGAAGGCAAGAAATAACTAAGATCAGAGCAGAACTGAAGGAAATAGAGACACAAAAAACCCTTCAAAAAATCAGTGAATCCAGGAGCTGGTTTTTTGAAAAGATTAACAAAATAGATAGACCACTAGGAAGACTAATAAAGAAGAAAAGACAGAAGAATAAAATGGATGCAATAAAAAATGATAAAGGGGATATCACCACCGATCCCACAGAAATACAAACTACCATCAGAGAATACTATAAACACCTCTATGCAAATAAACTAGAAAATCTAGAAGAAATGGATAAATTCCTCGACACATACACCCTCCCAAGACTAAACCAGGAGGAAGTTGAATCTCTGAATAGACCAATAACAGGAGCTGAAATTGAGGCAATAATTAATAGCTTACCAACCAAAAAAACTCCAGGACCAGATGGATTCACAGCCTAATTCTACCAGAGGTACAAGGAGGAGCTGGTACCATTCCTTCTGAAACTATTCCAATCAATAGAAAAAGAGGGAATCCTCCCTAACTCATTTTATGAGGCCAGCATCATCCTGATACCAAAGCCTGGCAGAGACACAAGAAAAAAAAGAGAATTTTAGACCAATATTCCTGATTAACATCGATGTAAAAATCCTCAATAAAATACTGGCAAACCAAATCCAGCAGCACATCAAAAAGCTTATCCATCATGATCAAGTGGGCTTCATCCCTGGGATGCAAGGCTGGTTCAACATACGCAAACCAATAAATGTAATCCAGCATATAAACAGAACAAATGACAAAACCACATGATTTTCTCAATAGATGCAGAAAAGGCCTTTGACAAAATTCAACAACCCTTCATGCTAAAAACTCTCAATAAATTAGGTATTGATGGGATGTATCTCAAAATAATAAGAGCTATGTATGACAAACCCGCAGCCAATATCATACTGAATGGGCAAAAACTGGAAGCATTCCCTTTGAAAACTGGCACAAGACAGGGATGCCCTCTCTCACCACTCCTATTCAACATAGTATTGGAAGTTCTGGCCAGGGCAATCAGGCAGGAGAAGGAAATAAAGGGTATTCAATTAGGAAAAGAGGAAGTCAAATTGTCCCTGTTTGCAGATGACATGATTGTATATCTAGAAAACCCCATCACCTCAGCCCAAAATCTCCTTAAGCTGATAAGCAACTACAGCAAAGTCTCAGGATACAAAATCAATGTGCAAAAATCACAAGCATTCTTATACACCAATAACAGACAAACAGAGAGCCAAATCATGAGTGAACTTCCATTCACAATTGCTTCAAAGAGAATAAAATACCTAGGAATCCAACTTACAAGGGATGTGAAGGACCTCTTCAAGGAGAACTATAAACCACTGCTCAATAAAATAAAAGAGGATACAAACAAATGGAAGAACATTCCATGCTCATGGGTAGGAAGAATCAATATCGTGAAAATGGCCATACTGCCCAAGGTAATTTATACATTCAGTGCCATCCCCATCAAGCTACCAATGACTTTCTTCACAGAATTGGAAAAAACTACTTCAAAGTTCATATGGAACCAAAAAAGAGCCCGCATCGCCAAGTCAATCCTAAGCCAAAAGAACAAAGCTGGAGGCATCACACTACCTGACTTCAAACTATACTACAAGGCTACAGTAACCAAAACAGCATGGTACTGGTATCAAAACAGAGATATAGACCAATGGAACAGAACAGAGCCCTCAGAAATAATGCCACACATCTACAACTATCTGATATTTGACAAACCTGACAAAAACAAGCAATGGGGAAAGGATTCCCTATTTAATAAATGGTGCTGGGAAAACTGGCTAGACATATGGAGAAAGCTGAAACTGGATCCCTTCCTTACACCTTATACAAAAATTAATTCAAGATCGATTAAAGACTTACATGTTAGACCTAAAACCATAAAAACCCTAGAAGAAAACCTAGGCGATACCATTCAGGACATAGGCATGGGCAAGGACTTCATGTCTAAAACATCAAAAGCAATGGCAACAAAAGCCAAAATTGACAAATGGGATCTAATTCAACTCAAGAGCTTCTGCACAGCAAAAGAAACTACCATCAGAGTGAACAGGCAACCTACAGAATGGGAGAAAATTTTTGCAATCTACTCATCTGATAAAGGACTAATATTCAGAATCTACAAAGAACTCAAACAAATTTACAAGAAAAAAACAAACAGCCCCATCAAAAAGTGGGTGAAGGATATGAACAGACACTTCTCAAAAGAAGCCATTTATGCAGCCAAAAGACACATGAAAAAATGCTCATCATCACTGGCCATCAGAGAAATGCAAATCAAAACCACAGTGAGATACCATCTCACACCAGTTAGAATGGCAATCATTAAAAAGTCAGGAAACAACAGGTGCTGGAGAGGATGTGGAGAAATAGGAACACTTTTACACTGTTGGTGGGTCTGTAAACTAGTTCAACCATCGTGGAAGTCAGTGTGGCGATTCCTCAGGGATCTAGAACTAGAAATACCATTTGACCCACCCATCCCATTACTGGGAATATACCCAAAGGATTATAAATCATGCTGCTATAAAGACACATGCACACGTATGTTTATTGCGGCACTATTCACAATAGCAAATACTTGGAACCAACCCAAATGCCCATCAATGATAGACTGGATTAAGAAAATGTGGCACATATACACCATGGAATACTATGCAGCCATAAAAAGGATGAGCTCATGTCCTTTGTAGGGACATGGATGAAGCTGGAAACCATCATTCTCAGCAAACTATCGCAAGGAGAAAATACCAAACACCACATGTTCTCACTCATAGGTGGGAA
The DNA here is from genome assembly GCF_000001405.40 of Homo sapiens. Lineage (NCBI taxonomy): Eukaryota > Metazoa > Chordata > Mammalia > Primates > Hominidae > Homo > Homo sapiens. The sequence goes on along the minus strand of NC_000004.12, from coordinate 110,385,943 downwards.
CTGAACAATGAGAACAGTTGGACTCAGGAAGGGGAACATCACACACCGGGGCCTGTTGTGGGGTGGGGGAATGGGGGAGGGATAGCATTAGGAGATAAACCTAATGTAAATGACGAGTTAATGGGTGCAGCACACCAACATGGCACATGTATACATATGTAACAAACTTGCACATTGTGCACATGTACCCTAAAACTTAAAGTATAATAAAAAAAGAAAAAAAAACCAACAGAGATGTAATTTTGACTTCCACATCACCAAAGACTTAAAAGATACACAATTTCTAATATTGTTGAAGGCATTTGGGATCAAGAATTCTCATACCTTGATCTTACAAGATTTCTACAGACAATGTGAAAAGGCGTAGTAATATTTTATTGTGTACTCCCTTTAGCCCAGCAATCCCACTATGGGGAATTTATCCTAGGGAAATATCAAAACAAGTGTGCAAAGATGTCTGTACAAGTTCTGAACATTGAAGTGTATCACGGCAGTGTGTGTCATGTATAAAAGTAGGAACAACCTAAATTTCCATAAATCAGGTATTGGCAAAACATAATATCACAGTGAATCCAATTAGTAGAACGTTGCACAATTTTGTGAAAGGGAAGAGTTAGATCTACATGCCTACAATAGTGGCAACCCTAGAAAAGTGTTTGGTGCTGAGCATGTGCTCAATAAACAGTTGTTAAATGAGTGAATTATTGTTAAAAGGTGTCAGATATTATAATATATTAAAATTTTAAGAGTTAGAACATGATCTTATTTCTCAAAAACAAAAATCACTTGTTTGTATACATGCACAAACATTTTTAGGAGAAGATATGTAAGGTTTTGTGGTGGTTATGTTCTAGAGGTTTCACAGGGAAACGTTCACTTTCTATTTAATACACTTCTGTACTTTCTGTTTGCGTCTTTTTATAGTATGTATTGCTCTTATTTATGAGTTTATTAATTGTATAATTAATATGTGAATACAGTCTCATATTTTAAATATTAAGCTATATAATGTAATTGTGCTCTCTTGACCAACCTCCAATTCCAGTCCCCTTTCCAGAAGTAAGACTATTGACAGCATATTCTTCTAGATCTTTTTATACGTGTTTAACCACACTGGTTTAGTTTTACTGGGTGCTATTTTTCCCCTTAAATTATAACATATTGTGTGTATTACTCAGCTACTTTCTGGTTTTATTTAACAATGTGTCCTGGGAGTCTTTATGTGTAAGATAGACGTAACCTACTCTTTTTAACTGAATTATAATATGCAAAACTATAGTTGTACCCTATAATTATGTAACCATTATTTTATTGATAGAAATTCAGGTATTTGGCATTGTTTTGTTTTTCAAACTTGGCCTAATTAAAACATTGGTACAATTAAAATTTTTGAATAAGACTTCTTGCACACATTTCCTAGCTGTTCTTTAAACATGTATCTGGGAATTGAATTGCTTAGTCAGTATAAAAGCCATTAAAATTCTTAATAATTTTTCATAGGCACTGCCCAATGCATACCAAAACAACTTTATGCTTATACCAACAGTGTACACCAACAATATATACACCAAATATATACACCAACAGTATATATTTTCTATACACTGCTCTGATACACAATAGATTATTTTTTCTGATTCCCTCCCTTCCCCACCCTCTCCCCTCAAGTAGGACCCAGTGTGCATTTTCCCCCTCTATGTGTCCATGTATTCTCATTTTTTAGCTCCCGCTTATAAGTAAAAACATGGTATTTTGTTTTGTTCCTGTATTAGTTTGCTAAGGATAGTGGCCACCAGCTCCATCCATGTTTCTGCAAAGGACATGATCTCATTCTTTTTTATGGTTGCATAGTATTCCATGGTGTATATGTACTAGATTTTCTTCTTCTAGTCTGATGGGCATTTAGGTTGATTCCATGTCTTCACCATTGTGAAAAGTGTTGCAGTGAGCATGTGGCTGCATGTATCTTTACAATGGAATGATTTATACTCACTTGAGTATATACCCAGTAATGGGATTGTTGGGTCAACTGGTAGTTCTGTCTTTAGCTCTTTGAGAATCCCCACATTGTTTTCCACAATGGTGGAACTAATTTACATTCCCACCAGCAGTGCATAAGTGTTCCCTTTTCTCTGCAACCTCACCAGCATCTGTTTGTTCTTTTTTTTTCACTTTTTAGTAGCAGTCATTCTGACTGGTGTGAGATGGTATCTCATTGTGGTTTTGATTTGCATTTCTCTAATGATCAATGATATAAAGATTTTTTCATATGCTGTTGGCTGCGTGTATGATTTCTTCTGAAAACTGTTCATGACCTTTGACCTTTTTTAATGGGGTTGTTTGTTTCTTTCTTGTAAATTTGTTTAAGTTCCTTATATATGCTAGGTATAATACCTTTGTTAGATGTAAAATTTGCAAATACTCTCTCCCATTCTGTAGGTTGGCTGTTTACTCTGTTGATAGTTTCTTTTACTGCAGCTCTTTAGTTCAATTAGACCCCATTTGTCAATTTTTGCTTTTGTTGCAATTGCTTTTGCTGTCTTCATCATGAAATGTTTGCCTATTCAATAGTTTCTTTTACTGCACAGCAGCTCTTTAGTTTAATTAGATTCCATTTGTCAATTTTTGCTTTTGTTGCAAGTTGCTTTTGATGTCTTCATCATGAAATATTTACCAGTTTCTACGTCCAAAATGGTACTGCTTAGGTTGTCTTCCAGGGTTTTTAGTTTTGGGTTTTACATTTAAGTCCTTAATCCACCTTGAGTTGGTTTTTGTATATGGTATAAGGAAGGCATCCAGTTTCAATCTTCTTCTGTGTATGCACAAGCATACTATTTATTGAATCCCAGAACCATTTACTGAATAAGAAATCCTTTCCCCATTGCTTGTTTTTCTCTTCATTAGTCTAGCTAGCAGTCTATCTGTTTTATTAACTTTTTCAAAAAAACAAACTCCTGGGTCCATTGATCTTTTGCATAGTTTTCATGTCTCAATCTCCTTCAGTTCAGCTCTCATTTTGGTTATTTCTTATCTTCTGCTAGCTTTGGGATTGGTTTACTCTTACTTCTCTAGTTCTTTCTGTTGTGATGTTAGGTTTTTAAATTGAGAACTTTCTAACTTTTTCATATGAGTGTTTAGTGCTATAAATTTCCCTCTTAATATTGCCTTGGCTGTGCCCCAGATATCCTGGTATGTTGTATCATTGTTCTCACTAGTTTCAAAGAACTTCTTGATTTGTGCCTTAATTTCATTATTTACCCAAAAGTCATTCAGGAGCAGTTTGTTTAATTTCCATGTAATCGTATGGTTTTGAGCAATTTTCTTAGTCTTCATTTCTATTTTTATTGCACTGTGGTCCAAGAGAGTGGCTGGTGTGATTTCAGTTCTTTTGCATTTGCTGAGGATTGTTTTATGTCCAATTGTGTGGTCATCTTTAGAGTATGTGCCATGTGGTGGTGAGAAGAATGTATATTTTGGTGCTTATGGTTGTAGAGTTCTGTGGATGTCAATCAGGTCTAATTGGTCCAATGTTGCGTTCAGGTCCTGAATATCTTTGCTAATTTTCTGCCTTGATGATCTGTCTCATACTGTCAGTAGGGTGTTGAAGTCTCTCACTATTATTGCTTGGGAGTCTAAGTCTATTTGAAGGTCTCTAAGAACTTGCTTTATGAAACTGGGTGCTTCTGTGTTGGGTGCATATATATTTAGGATAGTTAGGTCTTCTTGTTGAATTGAATCCTTTACCACTATGTAATGGCCTTCTTTGTGTTTTCTTGTGATCTGTGTTGGTTTAAAGTCTGTTTTGTCTGAAATTAGGATTGTAACCCCTGCTTTTCTTCTGATTTCCATTTTCTTGGTAGATTTTTCTTCATCCCTTTATTTTGAGCCTCTGGGTGTCATTGCATGGGAGATGAGTCTCTTGAAAACAGCATACCATTGAGTCTTTCTTCTTTACCCAGCTTGCAACTCTGTGCCTTTCAATTGGGCATTTAGCCCATTTACATTCAGGATTAGTATTGATATGTGTGGATTGATCCTGTCATCATGCTGTTAGCTGGCTGTTTTGCACACTTGTTTGTGTTGTTGCTTTATAGTGTCACTGGTTGGTGTACTTAAGTGTGTTATTGTAGTGGCTGCTAACAGTCTTTCCTTTCCATATTTAGCACTTCCTTCAGGAGCTCTTGTAAAGCAGGTTGGGTGGTAACAAATTCCCTCCACATTTGCTTGTCTGAAAAGGATCTTATTTCTCCTTTGCTTATGAAGCTTAGTATGGCCAGATATGAAACTCTTGGTTGAAAATTCTTTTCTTTCAGAATGTTGACTATGGCCAGGCACAGTGGCTCACGCCTGTAATCCCAGCACTTTCAGAGGCCAAGGCAGGCAGATCATAAGGTCAGGAGTTTGAGACCAGCCTGGCCAATATGGTGAAACCTTGTCTCTACTAAAAATACAAAAATTAGCTGGGCGTGGTGGTGGGCACCTGTAGTCTCACTTACTCTGGAGGCTGAGGCAGAAGAATTGCTTGAACCCAGGAGGCAGAGGTTGCAGAGAGCTGAGATTGTACCACTCACTGCACTCCAGCCTGGGTGACAGAGTGAGACCCTGTCTCAAAAAAAAAAAAAAAAAAAAAAAAAAAAAAGAAGAATGTTGACTATAAGCCCCCAGTCTCTTCTGGCTTGCAGGGTTTTTGCTGAGAGGTCTGCTGTTAGTTTTACAGGCTTCCTTTTGTAGGTAACCTGTCTTTTCTTTCTAGCTGCCTTTCATTGTCTTTCATTTTGACCTTGGAAAATCTGATGATTATGTGTCTTGGGGATGATCTTCTTGTGAAGTATTTTGTGTAGTTGAGATCAGGGGGGTCTCTGCATTTCCTAAATTTGGATCTTGACCTCTCTAGCTAGATTGGGGAAGTTGTCATGCATGGTATCTTGAAATATGTTTTCCAAGTTGTTTCTATTGTCCCTATCTTTCAGGGTGCCAATGAGTCACAGATTTGGTCTCTTTACATAATCTCATATTTCTCAGAGGTTTCATTATTTCCTTTTTATTCTTTTTTCTTTATTCTTGTCTGACTGTTTTATTTTAGAAATCCAGTCTTCAAGCTCTGAGATTCCTCTGCTTGGTCTATTCTCCTGTGATGGCATTATAAAATTCTTGTAGTGCTTTTTTCTTCTCTATCAGGTCAGTTACACTGTTTTCTAGACCAGCTATTTTGTCTGTCAGCTCCTGTATCATTTTACTGTGATTCTTAGCTTCCTTGGATTGGGTTTCAATGTTTTCCTGAATCTCAATGATCTTCATTCCTATCCATATTCTGAAATCTATTTCTGTCATTTCAGCCATCTCAGCTCAGTTTAGAACACTTGCTGGAGAACTAGTGCAGTTGTTTGGAGGAAAGAAGGTTTTCTGCCTTCCCGAATTGTCCGAGTTTTTGTGCTCATTCTTTCTCATCTTTGTGGGCTGATATTCCTTCAATCTTTAAAGTTGCTGTCCTTTAGATGGGTTGGGTTTTTTTTCCTTTTATTGTATTTGGGTGTTTGACTATGATATAAGGTGGGTTCAGTTGACAGGTTTCCTTTCTTGAAGATTTTAGGGAGCCAAGGCTCAGCTCAATATCCCTGGACTGCATGGTCTAACTCTGGGGGAGTAGAATCAGCCTCTCATTGTTCTCTGACCCCTTATGTTTGAGAATGGGCTGCACCAGAGAGGTTGAGGTGCTCCCACACTGCTAGTCACAACACTCCCATGAGTGCTGCCAGCCAAAGCTCTTTATAGGGTGGTGGCAGCAGAATCCATCCTCATTCGCCCATACCAGTGGCAGTGGCAGTGGCAGCATGGCAGGGTGCGTGCTAGTCACCTGTGGCAGAGTGCTAGCAGGTGCCAGGGTGAGAGCCTCCATGTGAGCATTTGCAGCAGTGGTGGCAGCATTCACAGCATTCACAGTGGTGGCAGTGTTTGCAGCATTTGCAGCATTCGCAGCATTTGCAGTGGTGGCAGCACAGCATGGGGGTGTTGCGCTCACCCAGTGTCTGTGCATACATTCTCATCAGTGGTGGTGTTAGCACAGGAGTGGGGTGCTGGTGGATGGGTCAGCTGTTCTCTGTGCCTAGTTTTGCACTGTGGCAATGTCAGCACATGGATGGGGCACTGGCAGGGGGAGAGTGCACTCATGCTGGCAGCACTTGCATGACAGGGAGTAAGGGGGCATGCAGACCCACAGGTTGGCAGAAAAAGGGAAGCAAGGACCACCCATGCACACACATGCTGGCAAAGTGATGTGGGGGGTGGCTGAGGACAAGTGCATATAGGCAAAGCAGCTGAAACAGGGGATGCTGAAAGTTTGTGGGGGGAGGGCATGGGCAGCCTGGCACATGTCCATGTGGGCCGCTGTGCTGGAGCTCTCTGCTGGTCAGACACTGTCTGCCAGCACAGGCACTGTCATGCAGGCCCCAGGAGGTACCTCCCCTCTGGGCTGCGCTGAAAGCAGGTGCATCCAGGCTGGGGCCTCAGGAGAGGCCAGCAGACTGAAGGATGCTCAGATCAGACCAGCTCCCTCTCGGGCAGGTCCACCCTGCAGAGTTCATGTCTGACAGTTCTTCATAAATTCTCCTTTGGGAGCAAGTTGAGCCTAGGGGAACAGGCATTCCTGCTCATGCTCCACTACAGATGTTCCCGCACCAAATCCTCTGGGCTCTGCACTGGCTGGAGTTCTGCCCCTACCATTTCTCTAAGCAGCTCTCGTTGCCAGCTCAAGTGTCTGTGGTGGTCATGGGCTTTCCTTCTGCTGGGATTCCAGAGGCCTGTGGCAAGAGCGGGCTGTTCCTTGCCTATTCAATTAACCCATTCCCTCAGAGTCACTGGGACCAGGAACAAGTCATGGTATGCACGGTAGCCCCATACATGGTTCTCAGCTTCCTTCCTCTTCAGCCCCGCTTCTGTATCTTTCTTCCATCTGCTCTCAATGCCTTCCCTCTGAAGATCTGCTAGGGGTCCTGCCAGTCCTTCTGGTGCCCCAGTCCATTGGTGGCAGCTGTTCCTCCTGGCAGCATCTAGCTGGCCATCTTGCCCCTCAATCTTTTGATTTGGTCATATTTTAAGAGGGCTTGTCTCTCCTAATGTCAGAAAAACAGATATATTTTATCACTTTTATAATTTTGACTTTAAATTTATGTCGTTATTCCTTCAGGAATTTATTTTTTGTAAGTGGTTGTAAGTTAAGTAAAAAACATTGATAGTTAATTATCCCTATAAAAATAAATTCAATAAAAATTGAATTGACATCATGTTTCTATTGAGTTTAAATGCCACTGTTAAAATAAATTTCTATATCTACCTGGGTCGATTTTTGTATGTGACCATGTTTTTATTTCATCTGTTTACATATTCCTGCAAAAATACCATACTATTTTGGATATTATTACACTAAGTTTTGATATCTCACTGGGCAAGCCTTCCCTTTCCATTTAAAATAACTTTGTCTATTTTTATCCATTTTTCCTTTCCAGATTCATTTTAGAATGAGATAGTTAACTTCCATGAAAAATTATATTGGAATGGTTTATTAATTGGGGGTTGACAATTTTCAACAGTATTCCTTTTCCCAGAATTTAGTAGGCTTTTTTATTTCTTCAGATCTCCTTTTATATCTTTCAGTAAACTTTTACATGAATGTTTCTTATTCATTAATTGTTAGTTTTTAAAATGTAGTTCAGGGCCAGGGATGGTGGCTCTTACCTGAACTTTGGGAGGCTGAGGTGGGCAGATTACTTGAGGTCAAGAGTTTGAGACCAGACCATGGCCAACATGACAAAACCCCAACTCTACCAAAAATACAAAAATTAGCTGGGCATGGTGGCGTACACCTATAATCCCAGCTACTTGGGTGACTGAGGCACGAGAATCGCTTGAACCCAGGAGGAGGAGGTTGCAGTGAGGAGGAGGTTGCAGTGAGCCGAGATCACGCCACTGCACTCTAGCCTGGGCAACAGAGCGAGACTCTGTCTCAAAAAAAATAAAGAAAGAAAGAAATGTAGTTTATGGTTTTTCTCTTATTCAATCAGACATTTTCTTATGATATTTTCATTTTAAATTTATTTTTATTAAGATTTTAAAAGTTTTGTATCATTTAAATTTATGTTACATTTAAATTTAAAAAGCAAAAGGACTTGAATTTGTCTAAGCTTCTTATTAAAATGTTAAATCAAGTTGAGGCACTTGTGTTAAAGACAAAACTATTTCCTATAATAGATTCTAACTGGTTACTGGTGTGCACAGGAGAGCTATTGATTTTTTCTAACTTGACCATGGTAGAGTACTTTCTGGAATACATCAACTTTAGCAGTTCTATTGAGTCAGTTTATTCTCTGGATTTTTTTTAGATAGGCAATGATAAAGCCTACAAATAAAAATATCCAATCAGAATGCTTTTGACTATAAATAATAGTCACAGACTCAGACAATAAAGAGATGTACAATGTACATAATGTACATCCCTGAGGCAAATGCTCCAGACTTGGTTAGTACAGCATCTCGAGGATGTCATTGCTGATCCAGGTTTTTACATCTTTCCAATTCCAATGTATAAGTTTTTCTTAGGCTACTTCTTCTCACAATTACAAAATGACTGCAGCAACTCCAGATAGCACATCCAACATGACAACTAAAAATGGACAAAATTTGGGTTCTTATTAGCAAGGAATAGAGGTGAATAAATGCTGGATCTGTAACTCTTTTCAATACGTATAATTATTGTTTCCTTTTTTACTTTCTGCCTTAACACATTACCTACAATTTCTTTCATAACAGTAATGGCAGCAATAGTAGGAATCCTTGCCTTAAATTTAATTGAGATACATCTAAGCCATTTGAATAGTATGTAACAAATAATTCTACACCATTTGAATATTACTTACTGTGGATTAAGGATTGACAAATTAAAGGCCACTTGGCCAGTGACCTGTTTTTGTATGACCTGAGAGCTAGAACAGCTGTTATGTTTTTAAAGGGTCATAGAGAAATTGCAGCGGTGAAAAAGAAGGAGAAAGAAGGAGGAGAAGGTGGAGGAACAGGAGGAAGGAGAACATGCAACAGAGACAGCAAGTAGCCTGCAAAGCCTACAATATTTACTATTTGTCCCTATTAGAAAAGGTTTGACAACCCCTTCTATAGATTATGCTCTAACATACCAATATCCCTCATCAAGTTTAAGAAATTAAATAATACCTAGTTTCCTAAGTGTTTTTAAAATCAGGAATGAGTGTTAAATTTTATCAAATGTATTTTGATAAAATTTGAAATAATATATTGAAATGATTATATGACTTCTTTCCTTTAGTCTGAATGTAGGGAATTACATTAATAGATTTTCTGATGTTGAAGCACTCTTGATTTTCTGCAATACATTTTACTTGATTATGGTGTGAAGATTTTCTTTTGATTCTCTGTTGGATTTGAGTGATCTCTGTGTGGCTAATCTAATGGCCAACTCTCATTGCTCAGAGTAGGCGATGTATCGGTAGTATTTGGCATGATACATCACTCTTTCCTGCTTGGAACACTTTCTTTACTTTCCGGACAGGATAGATTTATCATTTTTCGATTACTCGATTCCTTTATTCTAGCTCACGTTTATTCTTTCCCACATTTATTCTTTCCAAGGTTCAATCCTAGGAAATGTTCTTTTCTCTACTCTCATTCTCTTGCTGGGTGATCCCAACTCTCTCATGGCTTTGAATTCCACATGTAGACTGATGATTTTAAAATGTATTCAGCGTGGCCGAGCACGGTGGCTCATGCCTGTACTCCCAGCACTTTGAGAGGCCGAAGCGGGCAGATCACTTGAGGTCAGGAGTTCAAGACCAGCCTGGCCAATATAGCAAGACCCCCATCTCTACTAAAGAACAAAATGCAAAAATTAGCCAGGTGTGGTGGTGCGTGCCTGTAGTTCCAACAAAACAGGAAGCTGAGGCAGGAGAATCACTTGAACCTGGGAAGCAGAGGTTTGCAGTGAGCCACGATTGTGCCACTGCATCCAGTCTGGGTGACAGAGTGAGACTCAGTCTCAAAAACAACAACAATGACAAAAATAAAAACAAACAAACAAAACGATATTCAGCATAAACCTGTCCTCAAACCTCACGTGCTATACTCTGCTGCCTACACATCTCCATTTGGATTTTTAGTAGGAACCTCAAACTTAGTATGTCCAAAGCTGGACTCTATTCTTCTCCTTGCTCTAAATCTGCTTCTCCCACAGTCTGCCCCACTCAGTAAATGGTGATTCTATCTTTCCAGTAGGTGAAAATAAAAACCTTGGAATTGTCCTTGCCCATCTACTCATTCACTCAACCTGGCTGGGCAAAGGTATGTGATTTTGATATGGTGGTCAGAGACGGCTTCATTGAGAAGGTCAGATCTGCTATTTGCTAAGGGGGAAGACTGCAAAATAAGTAGGTTTGAGATCTTTACCCCCATTTTTATTTTTTTATTTTTTTATTTTTTTTTTGAGACAGGGTCTCACTTTGTCACCCAGGCTGGAGTACAGTGGTGTGAACATGGCTCACTGCAGCCTTGACCTCCCAGGCTCAAGTGATCCTCCCACCTCAGCCTCCCAAGTAGCTGGGACCACACACTGGCACCGCCACCTCCGGCTAATTTTTGTATTTTTAGTAGAGATGAGGTTTCACCATGTTGGCCAGGCTGGTCTCAAACTCCTGATTGCAAGTGATCCACCTACCTCGGCTTCCCAAAGTGCTGAGATTACAGGCGTGAGCCACCGCGCCCAGCCCCTTTTAACGTTCTTAACTTGGATTTCATTTTGTATGATACAAATATTTTTATACCTGCTTTTTTGTTACATTCACCTGATATATCTATTGCCAATTCTTTATTTTATACTTTTCTGAGTTATTTCATGGTGAAATTTTATTGTTCCAATCTAGAAGTGTTTGTCTTTTAATATTATTGATTATTGATATTTTTGGACTTTATGACCATTATATTTTGTCTTCTTTCTACTATGCTTTCTCATATTTTCTCTTCACATCCTTTTACTCAGTAAATAAAACCTTCTTTCTTTTATTTCATATGTCTTTTCTAGTGGTTAACCCTACTTATAAAATTTATAGACATTTAAGTTTGATTTTTATCCAAGTAATACTTTCACATACATTAGAAAAATTAGATGGTGCCAAAAAGCCTATTTAAAAAACTCAGGTTTTATCACAACCTGTCTTCTGAGATGGTGAGAGACAAGCAGAATGCGCTTCCAGACTCTCTCAGGAGTCGGCCTCTGGGCTCCCGGTTTCTCCTGGCATGGCAGCCACCAGGATATCTGCTCTGCCTCTGGGGCTTCCACATACAGCTCCTCCTGGGGAGGTGCCTGTCCTGGCCCCTGCTTGGCACAGCACCTAGCTGCTCCCACTCTGGTACCCAGTTCTTCCTCTGACCATGTCAACAGAGCTCCGTCCTGCTCCATGTATTCCCTCCTTCTAAGACCCCGCTAAAGCCACTCCCATCTTTGGCAGCAAGTTTGGGACTGTAGTTCTCCCTTATTTGTTTCCCATCTTTTAGGACTTTCTCACCACTTCCGGTCTACAGAACACACCAGCACCCCTTCTCATTTTCTAGTTAGAGACATCATCTGTCACTGGGGTGAGTGGGAGGCACGAAGATGGGCTCAATCCACCATACTGAGCCCAGTCCCAGGTAATCCTTTGATCATTAGGAGAAAAAAAATTGACATGTTTTTATTTTGAAAGTATTAATTCAAAGTTGCTTGATGAGATGACATGAGGTGAGGGGGCAAGTTGGACACTTAGGCCCCCAAATCTAGGAAATGTGCATAAAGATATTGTCATGTCTTCTCTGACGTTCTAGTTCCTGCCTTCCCAATTCCCTCTGTCATGGCTTACTCATATCCCACCACCATATATCCACTGCCCTTTCCCAATTCCCATCCCAGTCCTGAGTTGATGCAGGAAACATTCAATAGCAACTCTCCCTAGAGGTGTGAGTTGATGGATGAATTAATAAATAGGTCAATGAATTGGGAGACATCATTCATCAAAATTCAAGGGATCTTTATCCTCAGCATCCCAGAGAGAATTTAGTTTTGACTTCGAACTGAGGACTGTACTTCAAAGATTCTTGGTGCAGCAGAGAAAAAAACATGGACTCAGGAAAATCAGAATTGGACTCCCCATGCTGCTCTCACTGGCTAGTTTACTTTGGTCTGGTTACATAACCTCTTTGAGTCTCAGTTCCTTTTTTTTTTTTTTTTTGAGATGGAGTCTCACTCTGTGGCCCAGTCTGGAGCGTGCAGTGGTGCCATCTCGGCTCACTGCAAGCTCCCCCTCCCGGGTTCACGCCATTCTCCTGCCTCAGCCTCCCGAGTAGCTGGGACTACAGGTGCCCACCACCACACCTGGCTAATTTTTTGTATTTTTAGTAGAGACGGGTTTTCACCGTGTTAGCCAGGATGGTCTCAATCTCCTGACTTCGTGATCCGCCTGCCTCGGCCTCCGAAAGTGCTGGGATTGCAGGCGTGAGCCACCGTGCCCGGACGAGTCTCAGTTTCTTAACCTGTAAAACTGAAATAAGAACACCTCTGAAAATAATAACGATGACTATCTTATATACTGTGGCCCAAGCCACCGTCAGCCCTCACTGGATTAATGCAAAGCTCCTGAATGCTCTCCCTGCCTTCACTGCTGCTCTCCCTCCAGTCTATTTCCTGCCCATCAGCCTGTCAGATCGCATCAATCTGTGAGATTCAGAGGGGCTCTTCCATCTCACTTAGAGTAAAAGCCCAAGTCCTTACTACCATAGTCCTACCAGATCTGATCTCTTGTTAGGTCTCTGACCTCTTATTCTGCTTCTCTCCCCTCACTCACCACAGACCAGCTCCACAGGTTTCCTTGCTATGTTTCAAAAACACCAAGCACGCTTCTACTTCAGGACCTTGGCACTGACTCTACTGTCTGCCGGGAGTGCTCTTCTCCAGGTCTCTGTTTGGTTTTCTGTACTCAAATATCACCCTCTTAGTTAGGATCTGTCTTTCGTATTCTGCCAAAAAGTTCAACCTTTCCTTCTCCCAGATACCTTCTCTGCATTGGTTTTTCCTCTTAGCAGTTATCACTAGTTAACTGCAATGAACCTAGTGTGTCCTCCCCACAATTCATATGTTGAAACCCTAACCCCTAATGTAATGGCATTAGGAGGTGGGGCCTCTGGGAGGTGATTATGTAATGAGCCCTCATGGATGGGATTAGTGTCCTTACACAAGAAACCCCAGAGAGAAGCCTCGGCCCTTCCATCATGTGACAACACAGCAAGAAAACACCATTTGCGAACCAGAAAGCTGGCTCTCACCACACAACAAATCTGCTGGCACCTTGATCTTGAAACTCCCAGCCTCTTTAACCATGAGGAATACATTTCTGTTGTTTACAAGCCATTTGGTCTATGATATTTTGTTATAGCAGCCTGAACAGACTAAGACTCTAACATACAATATATTTTACTTACTTATGCTTGCTATTTTCTATTTCTACAACTAGAACAGAAGCTCCATGTAGACAAGGATTTCTTTCTATTCTGATCATTTGTATTCTAGCACCAAGGATTTGTTCTGGCTCATAGTAGATGCTCAAGACATATTTGTTGAATGAATGAAGAATAATTAGAGATAGTGCTTCTAAAGCAGAAAAAGTATAGGGTAGCAGTCCAGAGTACAGCTTTTGAAACCAGACTATGTAAGTTCCCATTTAATGCTTAATAGGCATGTTACCTTGGGAAAGTTACTAAACCTCCCTGGTCTCTGGTTTTATCATCTTTAATATGGAACTAATCATAGTATCTACACATAGAGTTGTTGGGAAAATCAAAGGAGATAATATATGTAAAGTGTCTAGAATAATGGCTGGCACATAGGAAGCTGTCAAAAAGGTATAACAGTTGTGATGGACATATCTAGCCCACAGTAGGTGTTTTGACAATAGTTGTCATCGTTATTAAACTCAATCTCAAGAGGCTGGGGGCGTCAGAGAATGAGTAGGTTTAAGAGGTGGAGGATGCAGTTATCTTGGACATTAGAACTGAAAAAGCAAGCTTGTGAACTGAAGGGGAGTCTGTAGCTAAGCTGACCATCTCTAATTCAACTCTATGTATGCAGCTAAGCTAAGAACACCTGTACCCCAGACAGCTGAGTAAGCACAATATGATTAACGGAGAAGTGGCACCACGTAGGACAAAGGGTCAAGGCTGTGGTCACAAGGTTGTTCTAAGTCAGAAGGCTCACTTCATTTCTCTGGGAATGCAGACTATAATTAAACAGAGGGGAGCACAGAGGCCTTCTGTTTCAGAGTCCCCTGAGCAGTCTTGTAACGGCTGAATGAGGAGGCAGGCACAGATTATTAACCATCCCATAAGCAAAGGCACATAAAAGCAAAGTTGTCCTTTGTCAGCAAATTCCATTGCAGACATCTCATCCAGTGACAGAAGAGTAATCCTGGAAGCAAAGGAGCTATTCATCACATGATTCTCGAAACAAGTCAGTACCTCCCTTTCACCCAACTTCTCCCCCTTCTGATGATGAGTTTGTGAATTTTGGGGAATCAGTACAAATCATTGCTATTCTCAAATCACATAAGCTGTTAGATGATCTAAAAGAATTACAGGCTTTTATTTATTACTATTTAATTAATTATAATTTTAATTTAATTTAATTATTATTTAATTAATTATAATTATTATGTAATTATTATTTTATTATTATTCTATGATTGTACTTATAAAAGTGCCAGCTGAAAAATGGAAAAATACTTAAGTGAGTTTGTTTTTTGAATAACCAGTTTGACCTACTCTTGATGACTGAACTGTCTATTGTTATGTTATGGAGTCACTATCTAAGGTTGGTGCAAAAGTAATTGCAGTTTTGGACCGTGAATTTTAAATCGTTATAACTGGGCTCAAACACATCTTTATTACTCAAAATAGGAACCATTACAATCAACAGATTTTTGCCAACAAGAAATAAGTTTGTTTATTCCTGCAGTATAAAAATTCGAGCTTTGGGATTCGACAAACTCTTGGAAAGCATTTTTTGCATCCTGCTGGTTGTGGAAGCATTATCCCTGCAAAAAGTTGTTGAGATGCTTGAAGAAGTGGTAGCTGGTTGGCGAGAGATCAAGTGAATATGGTGGATGAGGCAAAACTTTGTAGCCCAATTCATTCAACTTTTGAAGCATTGGTTGTGTGATGTGCCGTCAAGCATTGTCGTGGTGAATTGGGCCCTTTCTGTTGACCAATGCCGGCTGCAGGCATTGCGGTTTTCAGTGCATCTCATCGATTTGCTGAGCATGCTTCTCAGATGTAATGGTTTCACTGGGATTCAGAAAGCTGTAGAGGATCATAACCGGCAGCAGATCCCAGTGACCATGACCTTTTTTGGTACAAGTTTGGCTTTGGGACTTTGGAGCTTCTTTCTTGATCCAATCACTGAGCTGGTCATCACCAGTTGTCATACAAAATTCACTTTTCATTGCACAATCCGATGGAGAAATGGTTCGTTATTGTTGTGTAGACTAAGAGATGATACTTCAAAATGATGGTTTTATTTTATGTTTGCTGAGCTCGTGAGGCACCCATTTATCGAGCTTCTTTGCCTTTCCATCTGCTTCAATGATGAACAACCATAGAATGGTTGACGTTGAGTTCTTGGGCAACTTCTCATGTGTTTGTAAGAGGATCAGCTTCCATGAGTGCTCTCAGTTGGTTGTTGTCAACTTCTGATGGCTGGCCACTATGCTCCTCATCTTCAAGGCTCTCTTCTGCTTTGCAAAACTTCTTGAACCACCACTGCACTGTACATTTCTTCATTAGCAGTTCCTGGGCCAAATGCATTTTTGATGTTGCGAGTTGTCTCTGCTATTTTATGACCCATTTTGAATTTGAATAAGAAAATCGTTTGAATTTGCTTTTTGTCTAACATTATTTCCATAGTCTAAAATAAATATAAAATAAACAGCAAGTAATAAGTCATTAGCAAAAAAAAATGAGAAATATGCATTAGAATGATGTATAACATAGCCACATTTACTTAAGAATGTATTCCAGTGTCAAATGGCAAATTTCAATAATGCAAAAACCACAATTACTTTTGTACCAACTTATATAGGTTGTTATATGAACCAATTCTATCACATATAGAATTATGAGGAACAGAAATAAAGCCATGACCACATATCACTTGAATCTCTGCAAAATGTCACTCATGTATGCCCTTGCCTCACCACTGATGGCTCCCCTTTCCCTCCTAAGGAGGGAGTCTTTGGGATCAATCTTATCGCTGGACAGAAAGTAAACCCTAGTTCAACAATGCAGCACAAGTGAATCTTAGGGCCAGACTGACTTGGGACCCCTATTCTAATTGCTGAGGTCCACTTAATTCCCTCATGTCTGGATGCCTGTTGCTAGTCGGCTTCCTTAGATTCAGAAATCCGACTTGGATGACCACTCCTGCCTGTCCTCACTGAGATAACAGACCAGTCCCTAAGCCCCAAAAGGAACTGTTTCCTCACAGAAATCTCAGATTTCGGGGATGCCTAGATGCCCTGAGACTGAGTTCCAGCCATCAAGGAGACACTGCCTTTCTCTCTTGGCAAGCTTCCCTCTTGCTGACAATTTGCATAGATGACCATCCTCAGCGCTTCACTTTCTCCTAGCTAGAGTTCTTTCTGTAGCCTGCAGCCGGGCCTGCTGCCTGCAGCCCTTGCCTCCAGCTCCACTCCAGTGGTTGGGTCTGGGAGTGGGTCTGGGTCTGGATCTGGGTCCAGCACATTCTGTTTGGCCTGATCATGTAGCAGGCATTTTCATGTGCAGTCCTCCATTTCATACACACAATTTTGTGATACAGGTATCCAAATTCTTGTTACCACCCCTATTTTACAGTTCAGGAAATTGAGGCTCAGAAAGGTTAGTGTCTTGCCCACCTCAAGGCAAGAACTAAGTGGAGTCTGGTCTCAAAAC
Source organism: Homo sapiens (assembly GCF_000001405.40). Classification (NCBI taxonomy): domain Eukaryota; kingdom Metazoa; phylum Chordata; class Mammalia; order Primates; family Hominidae; genus Homo; species Homo sapiens. The sequence goes on along the minus strand of NC_000004.12, from coordinate 110,368,918 downwards.
CAAGTCTTATAACTGTACAATAAGATATAACTCATCAAAGAAGGAATAAAGTGCTGGGACATGCTACAATGTGGATGAACCTCGAAAACATTATGCTAAGTGAAAGACGCCAGACACAAGGGGTCACATTAAATGATTTCATTCACATGAATACTCAGGATAGAGACAGAACACAGATTATTAGCTGCCCATAAAAATGCTGATAATGAAACTGGTGATGAAAATATTTTGGAACTAGATAAAGGTGTTGGTTGCACAACACAAACTGAATTGCTTACTTTAAAATGGTTCAGCTTAGCGAGGCATGTTGGCCGCACCTGTAGTACCAGCTACTTGGAAGGCTGAGGCTATGACTGTGCCTGTAAATAGCCACTATACACCAGCCTAGGCAACATAGCAAGACCCCCATCTCTAAAAAAAATAAAAAAATAAAAATAAAATAAAATGGTTACACTTATGTCACGTGAATTTCATGTCAATCTTTTTTAAAAAACCTAGGTCTTTGGATTTCCACAGCCTGAACTTCTTTCACTGAATTACTTGTTTGCCAACTCTGAAGATACATAAAAATTTTATTATCTTCTATTACACTGTAAAAGTAGATATAGAAAAGCAACTTATTACCTTATTACTTTTTTACTTTTTTGCTTTAATATGTGATACAACAAGAAAGACTTTAAGTTTAAATAATATAAAAGTGAAGGCCGGGTGTGGTGGCTCACGCCTGTAATCCCAGCACTTCGGGAGGCCGAGGCAGGTGGATCACGAGGTCAAGAGATTGAGACCATCCTGGCTAACATGGTGAAACCCCGTCTCTCTAAAAATCCAAAAAGAATTAGCCGGGCGTGGTGGTGGGCCTGTAGTCCCAGCTACTCAGAAGGCTGAGGCAGGATAATGGCATGAACCCGGGAGGCGGAGCTTGCAGTGAGCCGAGATCGTGCCACTGCACTCCAGCCTGGGCGACAGAGTGAGACTCCGTCTCAAAAAAAAAAATAAAGTGAAGCAGGTACGTGAAAAAGTTTAAAGAGTATACAATAGCACAGATAACAATACAAGCTTACAACTTTCCAGCCACCCCAATCTCACTCCCTAGGGATAAGCATTTTTAACAGTTCTCTATGTAATCTTCCAGAAGGTTTTCTGAGCATATGTATAACCATATGGTCCTGTTTTTTCCTTCTTTTTTTTTTTTCAATTAACAACAGCTCTTGGAGAACGTCCATAAGAGAAAATATACCTAGCTTATAAATTCTAACACATGTGTAATATTCCATTTTATGGACATACCATAAATTTATTTCACTTCCCTTGCACCCTAATACCTAGTACTTCTCTCCAAATGGTCCTCCATTCTAAGGTGTCATGTTTAAAAGCCCTTTGTAGGCATAGGAGTAAGAGTAGTTTTCGAACTTCAGTATGTGTAAAAATCATGTATGGAGTTTAGTAAAAAAAATGAGGATTCCTGAGCTTCATTCCCTAGAGAGTCTGATGTGGTGTATCTAGGGTGGGTCCAATAATTTCCATTTTTCAAAATAAGTACCCTAGGTTATTCTGATGTAAGTGTTTCCTAATCCTACTTTGAATAATACTGAAACAAAACAAGGAACCTCATTCATTCCAGCAAACCACCGTTGAGCTGTTGCTATGTTCCAAAATCTGTGCCTGTACTGGGAGTGCAAATATTAATAAAACACAGCCCTGCCCTGATGATAGAGAAGAAAAGTAAACCAGCTAACGCCACCACATGAGGAACATACAATAGAAGTACATACGGAGTTCTGGAGCTCAGACAAGGAAAGACTTACCTTGGGCAGAGGTCAGGGATAGGCTTCATCAAGGAGATGATGGCTAAGCCTAACAGTGGTGGATTTACAAGGGTTTTCCAGGAAGATGGAACTTGAGATGGCATATAGCTGAAGCTTCCAGACAAAAGGAGCATCTTGTGAATAGTCATAGAAGTAAGAGAGAACAGGGAAGAAATAATAACAATCATATCATTGGGTGCACCATGTTAAGGAGCTGGTCTTAATCTGTGGATAATGAAAACCATGAACTACTTTGAAAAGGAAAGTAAGAAGGATCCAACTTGCATTCTAAAGATCATGGTGGCCGCCAGGGGAAAGATGGATTCAGGCGGTCCTGAAGTTGTAGGCAGGGAGATTCATTAAGAGTCTATCACAAAGTCATGACAAAATGATGATAGTTTTAAAAGAAATGTGTAAAAATACTAGAGGAAAACATGAAAAGATCTCCTTACAATTTTAAGTAGGGAAAATGCTTTTTAAGTCTGTTATAAAACTCTCAAAAAATGATAAATTGGACAACATAAAAATTGAAAGTTCTGTGTATCCTAAAATATAAAGTTCAAAACACAAACAACAAACTGGGAGAAATGTTTGCAACCCTTATCACAAGCGCTAATTTCCTCAATATATATATGAAGAATTTCTGTGAATCAGTAAGAATAGACCAATGATCCACTAGAAAAATGAACAAAGAAAATGAGTGTCATTCACAAGAGGGACCTACAAATGGCTTTTACGTAGTAGTCAAAAGATGCTTAATCTCATTCATAATTAGAGCCTATCCAAAATGAAACTATACTAAAATGCTATTTTTGCTTAGCAAATTATATTGCCATTTTAAAACTTTTGAAATTTAAAAAAAAATTCCCAAAGACAAGAAATTATCAGAGCATAAACTAATAAAATGGTTGTGATGCAGATAACCGTAAAGTCCAAATGCAGTGAGTACAGAGTGGATACAGGCAGCTGTGCAAATGCCCATGTGGAAGAACATGTATGGCATTGGCCAGCAATAAATGCAATAGGCTTAATGCTGAAAAACAATACTCTCAGGATGATTCCACTCATGTAAAAATGTTTTAAGGGACTTCACAAAATCCAAACAGTTTTATAATCTGACATGGTTACAGAAGCAAAAACAAACAAAACCAAAGCATCCACTGGGGTTTTGGTCTGCCATAATAGAAATATATCGTCCAACTTAAGGAAAATGAAGCTTCCTCACACACTAAATATAGAACAGCCTTTACATTTATATTAGCTGAATTTCAATTCTTTCTATTGAATGATTAGAGTCCAATAATCTTACCTTTCAAATCTTTCATTTTCCTGTTTGTAAAATGAGCTAACAATGATCCATTCTCAAAGTTTTGAGGAGATTAAAGAGATAACGTATGAAGCTCCTTAGCTTTGGTGCCTGGCCCAGAATCTTTGCTTAATTCATGTTAATTCTCTTCTGTTTTTTTCTCCTCTCTCCTGAACCCCTCCCCTCCTAGGGGACTACATTGGTGGAGAGTACTTAATTATCAAAAGAGACAATGACAGAATTCTTAGAAGAGTTAAAGCTATGGAATTAAAAAAAAAAAAAAATTAACAGCTAAGCCAGCCAAGCAGAGCTTCAGGATAAAGTGGGATAGAAAGGGCTGAAAGTCCAAGTTGAGAGAAAGGAAGAGGGGTCAAGGGTTTGTTCCAGAGAAGCAGTGCTGAGCAGGCTGACTGCGTCAGTAGCCTGGGTCAGCCACAGGCACTTGCAGAAAATATTCACATCTGCAGCACATTTTCAGAAATGTATCCTTCGGCAGCAGTAGGAGGGTGAGAGGCAGACTGAGGAAGCTCCACTCAGAGCCAGAGTGGTAGCAATAGCCAATGTAGAACCAAGGAAATCAGAGTCCCAGCTGAATCCAAGAAGGTCAGAGGATGGTGAGCTGGAGCCAGATACCAAATTAGAGCAGTCCTCTGGCAACAGGCTGTGGAACTGGTGAGAATATCCACCAGCTTTGTTTCTCAGCCGCAGAGCTGCTCTGAGAGGCTGGGAAAATTCAAAGGGATGCAGATAAGTATGAGGGGAGAGGTGAGGGCCTCTCTACAAAGCCATAGCTGTTGAGCCAGAAATCAAATGGAATCAAAACCACTAGGGACCTGAAAGGAGAATGTTAGCAATTCCTTGCTCCTAGAGCAAAAGTCAAACCTATGAACTGACCCCCATCACCTGTGAAATAGCCCCAAACATTATTGGCGGGTCATTTGTCAGAAAATTAGGTGAGATGGGAGGTCCTAGTGAGGATAAGAAAGAAATGGATATCTTGGTTTTAGAGAAGCTGTGGTCAGGTTAAAACCAAAGGCAGATTCCATCCTCAGCCTTTTCTCTCTTCTTTCTCTCACCATGGTCCTCTCATCCACTGCTGTGGCTTTAAATACTCCCCATATGTCAGTGATGTACCCAGCTGGGCTCCATTCAATGCTGCTCCCTCTTCTCTCCCCAGCCCACTCCATCATGGACAACCTCCTCACTCTGCTCAAGTTCTGAGGTTAAATATTTCTTCATAAATGCTCAACTTTGCATGTGATTACAAAATGCAAATTAAAATAAAAAGCCATTTTTAACCTATTAGACTGTCAAAGATTAATAAAATTGAGCTGGGCACAGTGGCTCACGCCCGTAATCCCAACAACTCAAAAGACTAAGTCAGAAGAATTGCCCTTGGCCTGGAGTTTCAGACCAACCTGATCAATATAGCAAAACCGTGTCTCTACAAAAAAATTTTTAAAAAAAGTTTAGCCTGCACTCTAGCCTGGGTGACAGAGTGAGATCCTCGTCTCTAAAAAATGAAAATATGTAAATAAATAATAAAATTGCAGATAACTAATGTTTGGAAAGGTATGGTAAGACAGCACTTTCGCAGAACAAAATTTTGGAGCAAACTCCTTAGAGAACAATTTTTTCCTGTCTTTTTAAAATTTTTTAATGGACAAATAATTGTAATGGAGAGCAATTTGAAAAATATTTTGCAAAATGCAAAAGGTGTGTATGTTTATATACATATAACTCCCTTTGACTCAGCAATTCCATTTCTAAGAATTTTTCTGACAATTTTTAAAATGAATATCCAAAGATAAATGTAGAAATTTTAATTGCAACATTGCTTGTAATCACAAAACAAAAACAAAAACCAGCCTAAAAAATGTGCATTAATAGAGAAATATTTAACTAGATCATGATATACTGAAATAATCTGAAGCCATAAAAAAATTGAGGTAGAATTTCATGTGCTAATAAGCAACAACCTTCAGAAGACATTGTTCAGCTAAAAAAAAAAGTAATTGAATATGCAGTACAGTATGATTTCATTTGGTTTAAATATATATGTATATGCATAGACATTTTCAGGAAGGATAATAATATGAACATTACCATAGTATAATTCCATTATTAATATACATAGAAATTTTCTGGAAGAATGAAGAAGAACCTGTTCATAATGATTTCTTCCAGAAGAGCAAGACTGAGTCAAGGAAGAATGAGGTAAACTTAATTTTCCTTCTGTTGTTCTGTATTGTTGAGTTTTTAATCATATGCATACATTGCTTTTATTTTTAGAAATAATTACATTTTAAACTCTTTTGGTGTTTATTAGTCATTTATATTGTCCATGGTCAATTTTTTTATTATTAAAATTTCATTATTATTTTACATTTATCTGTCACACCCATGAAATATATTTTTACCTGTTTGCCTTTGACTTTTTATTGACTATATAGGTATGTATGAATATAAAATAAGTGTACTGCTCAGTGAGAAGTGTAGCTATCATGCAATCAAACCCAGATCAACAAACACAGCACTATCAGCATCCTAGACCCAGACACCTCCCCTTCCCCCTTTCAATCTCTACCTCCATGGCTGACTTCTAATTTTATTTCTAATTTTTATAAAGAAAGGTCTACTATGCTTTGGTTCTTCAACTGATTGCTCTATTCCTTTGAGAATATTTTCATTGCTTTTGTACATAAAAGTCTTTCTTCATCTAGAGATAAAATGAATACTCACCCATATTTTCATCTAGTATTAAGAATGTTGGCCAGACGTGGTGGCTCACGCCTATAATCCCAGCACTTTGGGGGGGTCTCGGCAGGTGGATCACCTGAGGTCAGGAGTTGGAAACCAGCCTTGACCAACATGGTGAAACCCTGTCTCTATTAAAAATACAAAAATTAGCTGGGCATCATGGCATCTGCCTGTAATCCAGCTACTAGAGAGACTGAGACAAGAGAATGACTTGAACCCGGGAGGCGGAGGTTTCAGTGAGCCAATATTGCACCATTGCACTCCAGCCTGGGCAACAAGAATGAAATTCCATCTCAAAAAAAAAAAAAAAAAAGAATGTTTTATTTCTATACATCACTGAGCTTAGTAAAATTTATTTTGAGATGTGGATGAGGATTTCAATTAAATTGTTTTGCCAAGTAGTCAATCTTTTGTTCTTAGGAGGTCACAGCTAGATAATTTAATGAACTTCATTTCATCATCTTCAAGGCCCCACAGCACAGGAATCATGATTTCAGTTTAAGGAGAAGAGAAGGATCTCCCTGAAGTATTAGCCCTGGCTGCTCATACTGAGAAAACCAGAAGAAATATTTATAATAGTGTAAAAGAGTATACATCCTTATGGTACAGTATTAAAGTGACTCAAAAGTTTTATATACATATTTAGACCTAGCTAAGCAGATATTCTGAAATGGGGTGGGTAGGGCTTGGCTAAACATTATCCCAGCAATATTAGATAAATGAGAAAATTGAAAAAAAGGCCACTGCCTTCACCAGGGAACATCAAAATGGTAGTCTTTGATATTTTCTGGGGGAAAAGGCCACAAAATCATTCACAAACGAGCCAGGAAACAGTTAAAAGGGAGGCTCAGTGAGGGAGTTTGGCCACAAACCACAAGAACAGTGTGATGTCTCCAGTGCACCACAGCTTTCCCATGCATGGGAGGATTGTGCTTGAGAGGCAAGCTGGAGACAGCAGGCTGCAAACTGTGGAAATGAGTCAGGGGATGGGCTGCTCTGCCTGACTTGCTGTGGAACAGGAATTTCTGGTCAAGTGAATTAATTGAAAGGAAATAAGAAAAGTCATCGAAGATGAGATTGAAATTTTTGAGCATTTTATTTCTGTGCTCTCCTTCCAAATGGAAAAAGATCGTTCTGAAGCTATAGGGGAAAGAACGTGGACTTTGTAGTCATACTGGGATCCAAATCCTGGCTCTACTCCTTTGTATCCATGTGGACTTAAGCACATTTATTCACCTATGAACTGCAGTTACCTTCCTGTAAAACGGGGAAAAGAGCAATACTTCTTTCATAGAATTGTAAGGATGAGATGAAGATACACATAAAGGACCGAATAGAGTGGCTAGCACGAAGTTGTGCTTTATAATTTATCTTTATCATTTCTGTTAAGACAGTGTGTTTTCCTCTACCTATTTATAAATACCAGGTTTATTATTTTAATGTCAATAAAATTAAATTTGATAAGTGTAAACAAGAGATGTCCTTATTGTGATCCCCCATGATATTAACATCCCCCATAATCTAGAGTGAAGTTTCTCAACAGCAGCACTGTCGACATTTTGAGAAGGATCATTTTTGTTGTGGGGCTGCCCTGTGTATTGAAGGATGTTTAGCAGCATCTCTGGTCTCTGATTCCCATAGCATCCTCCAAGTTGTGGCAACCAAAAATGTCTCCAGACATTGCCAAATGTCCCCTGATGGCAAAATTCCCTCCAGTTGAAAACCATTACTCTAGGGGACTTTTCTGGTAACTAAAGGGAAGATAGGGAAGAGATCCATCAGGACAGCGGAATGGGTAATCAAGGATATGGGGTTAGCTTCAAGTATGGTTTTCAATAGTACAATATAGAACTCTTTTTCATTGTTTTATGAATATTTGCCCAGTAGTAAACTAACACAAGGGATGGGCTGGACATATATTTAGGTAGCACAGAGCTTAAAAGTTTAGATAAGATGACTGGTTTTAAAAGGCTTATCTAAATATCGCCTATCAGCAAAACTGACTAAAACACTGGAAGACGGCCTGATCATGACAGAAGATTTTGGTCATTTGGGTCATCTACGTCAAAACCAGGAAGTAATTATATACAGATAGGTCCTGTAACTAATGATATGGAGGACATCTTCTAAACTCTCAGGAGCGTAGGTGAGCAAGGAGTTCCATGACGGCCCTATGATTCACCTGACACATCCCATAAGGATAAGCTGAGTCTCACACCTTATTCCAGGAACCCTGCTTCAGCCCTATTTATTGGCATTCTCCTGCTCATCGCTGAAAAGTAGACTCCTCTAGAGTGGAAACTAGCAGCTGTTTAAGCATCATCAGTGTAGTGTGCTGAAGTTTAGAGTAGAAAGCAAAGGGAACTTTTCCAATTAAAATCACAGGGATCACTCAAGAAGTTAATAAACAAGCCACATGTGGTGGCACACTCCTTTAGTCCTAGCTACTTGGGAAGCTTAGGCGGAAGGATCACTTGAGCCCAGGAGTTCGAGTGTGTAGTGAGTTATGATCATGCAACTGCACTCCAGCCTGGGTGACAGGAGCAAGACCCTGTCTCTAAAAAAAAAAAAAAAGTTGATAAACAGGGGTCCTCTGACAGTGTGCTCTGCAAAGATCCACCCTGAGCACCACGACATTAGAGAACCACAGATAGCCACTGAATGCCATTTCTTTTTAAAAACGTCATGAAAGTCTTTACGGACTTTCATGAGGTTTTTAAATATTTATGGAAATATTGGTGCTAGGAAAAAAGACTATGTGATGATGGCTTTGAACTTCTCATTCCAAATCATGTATTCCTTCCACTAATATTTGTCTAGCACCTGTACACCAAACATTGCCTAGGCATTGGAAACAGCAGTAATCAAGACAGTTCAGTTCTTTCCCATTTTATCTGGGGATGTAAGCCTAGCCTCAGATAAAAATAGGAAAATAGGAATTGCGTATCTTTCAAGTCTTTTCCAATCCTTATGCCCTAAGGTATGGCTTCAGTAGCAAGCCTCTTTGGTACTGAACACCAAGAGGCAAAAATAAGGAAACAGTTAAGTGGACAAATTCTGAGATACAGATTCAAATATTGGTTATACCATCTGCTAGCTATGAGACTTTTTGAAGTATATAACTTAGTGCCCAGTTTCCTCATCTGTAAAATGGGGAAAAATGATAATACCTGCATTATAGGATTTGTGAAGGAATTGAATAATAAAATCTATACAATTATTAAGCACAAAGAAAATGCACAATCAGTAGTAATTAAAATAACAAAAAGAGCAAGCACACATTGCTCCAGAACTTGGGGCCTCATACCATCTTTTGCTTGAGCAGACCTCAAAAGCACCACTAGCATCCTCCACCCAGACATGCTTTTCAAATCAGATTCTCCCAACCCCTTGAAGCCTTGCACTGTAGAGCACTCAAACTCTCTCATCCAAATTCTAGTCTTCTTATTTGATTTCTCAGGGCTGGAATCATTTGAAATGAATGGAGGCTAGAAAGGATCCTGTAGTTTGGGGGTTGCAAAGGACCAGCAATACCCTTGCTAGTTTGGGTGAAAAACTTATGAGAGCTAATGCTATAGGAAATCATGATATCAGAGAAATATACAGACATCTCAGAAAGAATGGTTTTTTTGAAATGTAATAACATTCTAAGACTGAAGAGAAATTCTGAACTATAAAAGCTAGACACCAAAGAACCCTTCACTAAGTAGTGGGTTTTATTTGTGGGGAGGGAGGGCTGGGAAGCATCTGCTGCAGTAGCATCATAGACCAACTATTACTAAGTGACAGCTGGCCCAATGATAGCAAAGGCTTTCCTTTCGGCAGGAACAACAAGGAGTTGCTGGATGTGGGTGCTAATTAGCCATGTTGACTTTGCAGTTATAATATCCATAAATATGATATTATTTTTATAGATTTAGCCCAATGGGGGCATAAAGCTGATTTGAGGTCACCTGATGTGATTTAGGTAAAGGATAGCAGATGAGTTTTGTCATGAGTACCAATCAGATGATGTGGTAGTGGGCAACTGAGACAGTGTCTGGGAAGGGTGTGAGGTTATACACAGACTTTGTAAGGAGAGTATGTGGTGAACTCTCTATCTATTGATGATTGGTCTGGGCAGATGAGCAGATAAGGAAGGAGTATTAACTTAATGCTACTAGTTGAAAATGAAGATTTAGGTTATTGTGGTTTTCCCCATTAGATTTTGTTTTTTTTAAAAAAGTAGACTTTAAGAGTCCAAGCAAGTTTATTCAATAGATAAGTCCAAATAAAATGACTTTAATATAAAAAAGTATTTTCCGTTTTTTTTTTTTTTTTGCTCAACAAGTTAACCATTATATTTTAGACGCTGTGCTGGATGTCAGTGGGAAGAAGAATAGAGGATATGGTCTTTACCCTCATAAGGCTTAGGTGGAGAGCTATAACTTAAATAATCATCCAGATAAACATAGAAGTGCAAACTGAAATAAATGTCCCAAGAAAAATATCAGGGAGCTACGTGTATATAACAAGGGGGCTTAACACTTCCTCAGTAACTAGTTTGGAAATTATGTGCATAGCTTCCTCCTAGGGGGACAAGTACAAACATCTTCATTCAATTAGTAATAGGTATTGGAAGTCAAGTACTGAGTTAGTTGTTGAACATACAAAAATTTAAAAGACATTGCAACTCTCTGGACTTACTCTCTCAGTGATCTCTTCCCATCCCAAGGCACTGAATACCATCACCTGATGATATTCAATTGATGACTGAATGAGATCAAACTGATGACTCCCAGAAGTATATTTCTAGTGAGAACATCTTCAGTTGCTTTTACAGCATGGGCATCTGCATTTTTAATTGAGAACTTGCTCTTCTCATCCAACCTACCTCCTCCCTCTCTCCCTCCCTCAGTCTTCCCCCATCTCAATCAATGGTAACTCCACCCATTCTTTTGCTCAGGCCAAAACACTTGTATTCATCTTTGACCCTTCCTTTTCTCTCACAACACTCATTCAACCCATCAGCAAAGACTGTTACCACTACATTGAAAATAGTTACAGAATCCATCCACTTCTCACCACTCCCACTGCAACTCCACTGGTTCAAGTCACCATTATTACTCACTTGGATTGTTACTGTGGTCTATTAACTGGTCTTTCACCTTGTGCTTGTGCCTCCTTCAATTTATTCTCTTCAAAATAAATGCAATACCTAGAGAGATCTCTTTAAAATATAAATCAGGTCAAAATATAAGTCAAAGTTCTTCCTGTAACCTTACACAATCCCAGTGGTCTGGCCTTCAGTCAACTCTCTGACCTCATCTCTTACTACTCTTCCCTTTGTTTGTCTCCTTGTCCATACATTCTAGTCACACTGGCCTCCTCACTGTCATTCACATAGTAAGTGCCTTCTTGCCTCAGGGCCTAAGCACCTGCTGATCCTTCTTACAAGAACAATCTCTGTCTACATTTCGAACACCGCATATCCCTCCCTCTTCTAGCTCTTTACTCAGGAGTCACCTGCTCAGGAAACCTTGCTCCTGAGATATCCTATCTGAAACTTCAACTGTCCTTCCCCTAACACTTTTTCTTTTTTTGAGACAGGTTCTCACTCTGTCACTTAGATTGCAGTGTAGTGGCACAATCACAGCTCACTGCAGGCTTGACACTCCAGGCTCAAGCAACCCTCCCGTCTCAGCTTCCTGAGTAGCTGGGACTATAGGCATGCACCACCACACCTGGATAATTTTTTTAAAACATTTTTTGTGGAGACAAGGTCTTGCTGTGTTGCCCAGGCTGGTTGTGAACTCTCAGGAGCTGATTTACTCATTAGTCACAGTGCATAGGGCCCATAATACTTTCAGGGTCCCACAAAATTGTTTTAATTTTAACTTCATTTAAAATCAGAAGAAAAAAAGAATATAAAATAATGAATCCAGCCTGGACTAGAATTGTTTTTATACGAATACAGTCTTCAAATAAAAATTCTAGCATTTCTACATAGAGGAAGGGTCCCATAGAAGCAATATGCCTAAGGCCCATGAAAATCACATGAAGCCCTGGGAGAGACAGACAATAAACAAGATTTAAAAGTAAAATATACACATGCTCCTCGACTTATGATGGGGCTACATCCCAATAAACCCATTGTAAGTGGAAAATAATATAAGTTGAATTATGACATTTTCAATTTAAAGGTGGGTTTATTTGGATGTAAACCCATCATAAATTGAGAAGCATACTGAATGCACATGGCTTTTGCATCATTATGAATTCAGAAAATCATGTGTAAGTAACTATTGTTAGATTTGGGGACTGTCTGTATAGTGTATTAGAGAAAGAAACAAATCAAGAAATGGGAATTAAAAGTGTTTGGCAAAGGAGGCTGGGCATGGTGGCTCACTCCTAAGAACACTTTGGGAGGCCAATGCAGAAAGATCAATTTGAACCAGGTGATGTGAGAGAGAGTGGTGGTCCCTGGACTTTGGTAACAGTGAAGCAGGAAATTTTCCCTGACCCATTTGCAGGCAAGAACTGGAGTGCACAGGCATCATCAGGGGCAAACTGCATTCACTCGAACTCACTGCACTCAATCTCTCTGCGGGAGGGAGCATGCAGGTGAGCGGGTGCAGGAGCCGGGGCGAGTGCTTTGGGCACCAGCAGGAATTAACTCCATGCTGGATCTGCAGCAGCATCTAGGAGGGTGCCCACGACCCCTGAAGCCCCAGAAGGAGTGTTATAGTCAGTACTCTTTTAGCTTCGCAATCCTTGGATGGTTTAGGTGTTAAGAGCTCAGTGGAGGGTCAGTGTGACAGCCTTTTGCACCTGCACCCGAGTTCGTGACCAGCGTCCTGGAGGAAAGAGGTCACACGAACAAATTGGAGATGGTAAATGCAGGGGATTTTATTGCCAATGAAAGTGGCTCTCAGTGGAAAAGGGAGCTAAAAAGGAGACAGAGTGGGAAGGTAATCTTCCCCCAAAGTCCAGCCGTCCTTAGCCAGACTCCTCTCCAAAGCAATGCCGTCAAACTGCTCCTTTGAAGTCAAGCTGCTTCTCTTTGAGGTCCAACTGTAGTCTCTGGCATCCAGCTGCTTCTCTTCTTCTCCCTCTGCCAGCAAAGCCTGGGAATTTTATGGGCACAGAATGGGGGGCAGGGTAGGCCATGGGTGATTTTGGAAAAGGCAGCATTCAAGTGGGAAAGCGGGGATGTGAAGTTCTCACTTTGGGCTGTGGTTCTAGCTTGAGGGTGAGGTCCTCGCCAGGGACCTGCCCTCTTCTGCCCAGAATTCCCCTGCCTCCTGTCCCTGTCAACAGGTACCAAAAGGCCTGTTCCTTCAAGACACTCTTCTCTGTTGCAGACATCTCACTCTGAACCCTCACAAGGGCAAGCAGAGCAAGTATGTGGCAGCTAAGCAAGTATTGGTAAAGGTTAGTATGATGGCTTGAAGATATCTCACAGAGACTATTTCCTGTGTTCTGCTGACCTTGTCAACAAGTGTGCTCTACTTCAGACAGTTCTATTTTAGAAGATGTTCTCTTACATGTCTGTGACATGAAGTGAGGCTGTCTCATTAACTAGGGCTTTTAAATACAGCAGTTATATTCTATCAGGAAATATCTTTGAAAGACTCCATTTCAAACTATACATATAAGGCAATTCTGCCACATGTCCCCAAGAAGGCTCTAAAACCATACAGTTGAGGTCGCTGGAGCAACAACCAGCAATGTCTTCTCTAGGTTATAGATTATATTTGAGAAATTAAAATTGTTTCACCTTTAAATTGTCAAGTTTATCTGTATTTTTATCTTGGGTGATGTTTGTGTGTTCTACAAATTAGAAGATAATCCATGAGTTTCTTTTCTTTCAAACCCTCACTTTGTCCATTATATAGCAAGGGTCACAATTTAATTTATATCATGTTTACCCCAGGATTCAGAGTGGGTGAACAATCATGAGTAGTCTATTCATATCAGGGGTCCAGGAACATCCTGAGAAAAACTCATTTTTTTTCTTTAGAGGAAAAAGCATCAAGACTCACAAGTTTCATTCAAGAACAATGAGGAAGTTTTTGAAGGGAGAGGGGAATTGAAATTGAGTACAATATTTGTCATATGTTTACTATAATCTCCCCCACCACACAGAAGAATGTAGGTTTTATGAGAGCAAGGACTTCATCTATTTTGCTCACTGATATGTCCCTAACCTAGAACAAAGTGTGTACATTGCAGGTGCTCAGTAAGTATGTGTTGAATAACTGAATGAATTGCACAGATTTCTCTGAATGGTCACATGAGGGAGGTACAAAAACGAAAGCATTAGTCCTGTTTTGCGAACTCTGAAGGCACAACACAGCTGCTGGACTGCTGATAGAAGTTTGAACAGTGGCCAGAGAGAGCGCTGGCACCTTCAGAAGGTTGTACCCTTACACCAACATCAATGTTCTTGGCTTCAGACATGGCAGCCATGAGCAAAAGTAGTGAGTGGCATTAGAGGTCGTGGCCTTGGTAGCCCCTGGCAGAAGAGCTACTGCTTTTAATAGTGATGGAAGACATTAGTCCCTGGGAAGCAGAGCTGAGAGGGAAAAAAATGGAACCCACAAGGGAATCAAGAAAAGTAGTTCGTGACTCAATAATCTCAAGTACCAAACATCACTATGTTCTAAGGTAGTTATTTTTGTGCACTAGGACCTGTCTTGAATTGACTGTTGATCTTGAAAGTTGATTTGCCTTGCCTGCAGCCATCCAGCTTCCTGCTTTTAAAAGGATTCTTACTGGCATTAGAAGATATTTTGTAATGAGTCCTGAAAACATCAATAAGAAAACAGCAAGTTCCAACGATGTTCCCTTATTGCGACAAAATTACCTTGGGCTAATCCTGCCCTAAGTCATTATTTCATACAGTGTCAGGGACTCAAAAGGAACATTATTGAACCACGATTTTTGGCTTGTAAGTACTCCTGAAGTCTCTGTCCCTTCTCAGGCAACATACATTTTTATAAGGACTATTTATAAACAATATCTACATCTTTATCATTTAACCCCGATGTCAAATTTGGAAAGGGAATTAGAGGTCAGCCAGGAGTGAACTACAGCTCAGAGATGAGCAAATTGAGGAGGGACCCTCAGAGGGGGCATATTTCAGTGCCCCTCATGCCACACCACTGACCTGTGTGGAGGGCTGTTCTAGGATTGTAATCATTAGTGTCTTCTCTCTGGTCCCTGCTAGATCAAAATTTAGCCATGGATAAACCCAGTTAGGACTTGAGAGAAACATAATGGTCTTCTTTCTTTTTAGAAGAGTCTGTGAGATCCTTAAGAACTAGTCGTGGACTGGGACCAAATGGGCAGATGTTGGGGCCAGAAGAAGATAAACTAGCACTGGAGCTGGAGAAGTACCCACAAAGGAGGCTGACACCTGGAGGGGCATCCCTTTCATGGGATTTGGATCATAATCTCAAAAGACACAATCCTGAACACCACAATCCCAAATGTTGAAATCCCAAAAGATCAAAATCCCTAAAGTCTAAAATCCCCAAAATCACAATCACAGGAATCAGATAAATTTTAAAAAGAGCAGCACCACATAGAAAATGAATATGAACATATTCTCCAAGAAAAGCCATGTCCTAAAAGAAAGAAAAAGCAGCTATTCATTGTAATGCGAGACTTCAAAATGCAGTTAATGATTGTAAAAGCTGGCCATCTCTTATAGAGTATCTCTGTGCAATTTCCCATAACCTATCCCTGTAACATACTTTTTCATATGTTGATTTTTTTAGTTGTTTTGTTGTTGTTTTCTTCTTTTTTTTAGCTTTTCCCACTATTTTAAATTGTCAGCATTATTTTTGACAATTCACTGTGCTCTGTATTTTTTCTTGGCATCATTTCCAGTATTGGAGGTATAAATTGTGTAGAGATTTTTAGAGAGCTCTAATTTACTTTATGCAAATTTGACTCCACAAAAGTACACACAACGTTGACTTGTGTATACTTGTGTGTGTACATACAAAATGTCGAAAGTCCCTCAATAAATGAAGAGATGTCCTTTTTGTACATCTGCATTTGTGAAAGACAAAATTTCTTGGCTCTCTGGGCGACAGCATATGCAGTGGTGACCCATCACAGTTTTTGATAGATCTTGTCAAAGGCTCCAGTTGCTTAGCACCGTACTTCAGATGACCACAGTTATAAAGTGGAGTGCACACAATTACCAACCATAGTGACATGCATTTATTCATTTCCCTTTTTGCCCTGTTTCTTTATAAATATGGTTCATCTACTCATACTGTTACACCCACACAACTGTTTTTAGTATGTATATTTATGCTTGCAAAAACAGATATGTTATCATTGCTTATTTTACTGTGTGAAGTGGCCTATGAAGTATTCTTTCATGTTTTTATGTGTTTCTCAAGTAAACCACCTTTTAAAATGTAAATAAGCCTGAGCAATATAGGGAGACCCTGCCTCTACCAAAAATTAAAAAATTAATCTCTCTCTCTCTCAGTTTAAACTCTCACCAGCGTAAACTGCTTAATCTATCTCATTTACCAAGCTTTAAGAAGATAGCCCTACTCCAGTTTGGCATTCAGATCAGCTAAAGTGCCTTTTAAATGTGTTAAAATATCCTGGATACTAAACTCCTTGACTAAGTTTTAAATCAAAACCAAACATTGATACAGGAAAATTATGTTCTGCAAAAGTAAATAGCTGTTTCAACATTATACGGTCTAGTTATAAAAAAGAGTGGTGGGAAATATTTCTATTACACAAATTTGCATTGAATAATTCTACATACTCATCACAGAATATTTCTGAAGACTTATTTTAAATATATTTTTATCATAGTTCTCCATGTCAGGAAAGGCTGTTCTTGCGAGCACTTGTAAAATATGTATGTGCCAATAATTAAGTTGTCTCTCAGCTCCAAACCCTCCCTCCTATTCTTCTTTTTTTTTTTTCTTTGTTTTTGGTGGGGATTTTTGTGTGTGTGGCTTTTTTGTTTTTGTATTTTTGAGACAGGATCTCACTTTGTCACCCAGGCTGGAGTGCAGTGGCTCAATCACGGCTCCCTGCAGCCTTGACCTCCTGGGCTGAGGAGATCCTCCCACCTTAGCTCCCCAAGTGGTTGGGACTACAGTTGCGCACTAGCAAGCTGATCTAATTTTTATATTTTTTGTAGAGATGGGGTTTCATCATGTTGCCCAAGCTGGTCTTGAACTGGGCTCATGTGATCAGCCCACCTCGGCCTCCCAAGGTGCTAGTATTGCAGGCATGAGCCACTGTAGCTGGTCCCTCCCTCCTATTTGTTAGCGCATCCTATCAAGAAATGGCAATTTCTTGACAGGATCCACTAATGGGGGCACAAAATAAGACTGGAAGGCTGGAGGTAAAAGTGCCTTAGGCCTTTGTGTTTGCATGCTGTTCTTGTCAGGTCACCCTGAAAACAGCTCTGCCCAACAGCAGCCTTGATTCAAGCTTCTAGCTTCTTCAGTCCCTAGGGGTCTGAGTCCTGCTTCTGTAGAGCTCCTCCTCTAAGATTTTAGGTTATGGTAATCCCTTCTCTGGGTTACCTCAGTCATCTTTTTATTTGCTTTTCAGATTCCAATGTCTGCTTAACTAATTCCCTATATTAAATCCCCTCTATTTAAAAACCTAGTGTGGTTTCTAACTGGCCCCTGACTGATAGTTTACTTAAAAACAACCTATCTCATAGAATTGATGTCAAGAACTCAATGAGATTATTTATGTATTTATTTATTCATTCATTCATTTATTTACTTTTTATTTGTTTATTTATTTGGGACAGGGTCTCTCTCTGTCCCCCTGGTTGGAGTCAGTGGTGTGATCGTGGCTCACTCACTGCAGCCTCAACCTCCCAGGCTCAAGCGATCCTCTTGCCTCAGCTTCATGTAGCTGGGACCACAGGCACATGCCAACACACGTGGGTAATTTTTTTGTTTGTTTGTTTTTAGAGATGAGGTCTCACTTTGCTGCCCAGGCTGGTCTCCAACTCCTGGGCTCAAGCAATTCTCCTGCCTTGGCCTCCCAAACTGCTTAAATAAAGCACTTGACCATAGGTTAATGTGTCTGACACGTAAGAGATATTCAGTAAATTTTCACTGAAGTCTTAAATGGATGAATGAATAAATATTATCCAAATATTTATTTTTATTAGGCTTAATATAGACTGTGATAAAATAATAAAAATGAAAATTGATAAAATTTCAGTTGAGGATGTGAAATAATTTTTCTTTGTGAAAATAGTTTCAGGGATAGTAGTATGTGTGTCAGAGGAAGTTTGAAATTGATATTTTGTATCAGCTAAGTCATTGGTAGGAAATGTTTACTGAGTAGACCTAACAGCATGTTCTCTGAGCAGAGAAGGATGCCAGGTATGCCTTCTCGTTGCTTGATTGGAGAAGTCTTCTGTAATTAAAAAATAAAAAATAGACTCTACACAATCTTTTTTTTAACCCTGCAATATAGCATAATGGTTATAAACACAACTGCCTTGTTCTGCCACATCCTAGCTATGGATTGACCATAGTTATTAATCTCTACCTGCATCAGTGTTCTCACCTGTAAAATGAGAATAATAATAGTCTCTTAAAGGATTATAGTGAAAATTAAATTAGTTTACATAGGGGGCTGTGCCTGCTACCTGGAGCAACCATGGTTTGTGGCCCTTCCGGGACTGGGACCAGAATAAACGGCGCCCACCAACTGCTTCTCTTACCCTCCTCCAGTGCTGCAGAGATGGACTTCATTTCCTGAGGACTGGGCTGCAGTGGTCTTTGGGTTTGGCCTTGGCCATCAGCCACCTGGCATAAGTAAGCTTCCATCCCTGCAGAGGAAAAGGAAAAATAAAGAGTGGAAGGAGATGCTGGCAAGGTTGCAGAGAAAAGGAGATGCTTATACACTGTTGGTGGGAGTGTAAATTAATTCAGCCATTGTGGACAGCAATGTGGTGATTCCTCAAAGAGCTAAAAACAGAGCTACCATTCAACCCAGAAATCCCATTATTAGGTATATACCCAAAGGAATATAAATCATTCTATCACACTATTCACAAAGGCAAAGGTATGGAACCAACCTAAACACTCATCAATGGCAGACTGGATAATGAAAATTTGTTACATAAACACCATGGAATACGATGCAGCCATAAAAACAATGAGATCATGTCCTTTGCAGGAACATGGATGGAGCTAGAGGCCATTATCCTTAGCATAGTAATGCAGGGACAGAAAACCAAATACCGCATGTTCTCACTTATAAGTGGGAACTAAATGATGACAACACATGGACACATAGAAAAGAACACACACTGGTGTCTACTTGAGGGTGGAGGGTGGAAGGAGGGAGAGGAGGAGAAAAGATAACTCTTGGGTACTAGGCTTAATACCTGAGTGACAAAATAATGTGTACAACAAACCCCTGTGACACAAGTTTACCTACATAACAAACCTGCATACGTACCTCTAAAGCCAAAATAAAAGTTTAAAGAAACAGAAAAAATAAATAAATAAATAAATAAATCAGTTAACATGTGAAGTGTTTAAAACAGTGCCTATCATGTTAATAAGTACTATATAGTATTTGTCATTATTATCTTTATGGAAAATATGCTACCTGAGATGGGTAATTTTGTGTGTCAACTTGACTGGGCCACAGTGCCCAGATATTTGGTCAAACATTATCTTGGATTTTCTGTGAGGGCATTTTTTTGGATGAGATCAACATTTAAATTGACAGACTTTGAGTAAAGCAGATTGCCCTCTATAATGCAGGTGGGCCTCATCTAACCAGTTGCATGCCTTCACAGAACAAAGAGTGACCTTCCCCAGACAAGAGTGAATTCTGCCAGCAGACAGCCTTTGGAACTGAACTGCAATATTTGCTCTTCCCTCGGTCATTTGGCTGCCAGCCTACTCCACAGATTTTGGACTCACCAACTTCCATAATTTTGTGAGCCAATTTCTTAAAATAAATCTCTTTCAATAGATAGTCTATATAGATAGATAATTCTAGAGAGCTAGATCTAGATATACATACGTACACACATACACATAGAAACAGATCCTCCATTGGTTCTGTTTCTCTAGAGAACTCTGACTAGTACGGTACCTAAGCCAGCATCAGACACAATCATAGGCATTGGAGCCCTGTGGGGTCTAGGTTGCTCCAGATTGTCTGTTTGCCATATTAGGCTCCATAGAGAAAGATAATTTGTTTTTAAAGCAACAGTTTGCTTTGATTTGTAAAAACTACAGGTAACCCCTTCACCTGGGATGATAGTTTATACATAGTAAGCATCAGTAAATATTTGGTAAATATTTTTTAGACAACACAATTTAAAGCATCTAAAGTTATATAATGGCATCATATTCTAACTACTAAAAACAAGCAAAAAAAACACTCCTGGAAAGCTTAACCTGAAGATCTAAAGTAATAGTCATAGCCAAACTACTGTGGTGCAGAGAAGTAGTGGAATTTGGAAACTGGAGATCTAGAGTTTTGTCACCCTTTTTCTCTTCCTGGAAGATAATTTTCTTCTGAAAAATCAATGTTTCACAATACAATGCAATGCAAAGAGATTTATTAAGAACAACACTTTTCTTCATGCTATACCTAATTATAGTTAACATACATACATGATAGATTTGCTCCTATAAACTAATTAAATACTAGTGCAAGGATATAGAATTGCTGAACAAGTGCAGGATGGTTGATTTAAAGCTTATGCGTTCTCTACTGTGTGAATCATACAGACAGTTATCTCTATAAGGGGCAATGCTGACTGGGCAGGTATTGATTTCAGAATTCCAAATAATGTCAGCTTTCTTAAATTATAGGATAGAAGTTATTGAAGTGGAGACTGATGCCTTTGTGGGATCAGAGGCCAAAGGACTCTAAAAAAAGGGGAAAAAAAGGAAAGACGGGGAGAGTTCTTTCAAAGAAAAACACTCTTGAGAAACAGAAAATTTGGTATCTAGTTCTATGCCAAGCCCAAATAAACATTTACTTTCCTACCATTGCAAAACTGCGTGGTTTCCGTAGAAGCTGTACATGATACTCATGAGAAAATGACTTTGTACTATAGCAAGTGTCATTTGTTTCATCAGATAACTGCAAGAAGTTGGGAGTTCTCACTAATCCCAAGTATAAACGGATAGCATAGCAGAGACCACCTCTCTGGCAATACAACTGATTTGTAATTCTCTCTTAGCCTTAGATGGCCTTTGTTTGCAGCTCGCTCCTTCTGAATTACCAGAGCAGTGAGCCATGATCTCAGAGACAGATCATTCTCTCTTCCCACCCACAATTTCTGATCCCCTAAACCTAACCTGAGTCTTCTCTTCCTAATCATAAGGTGGAACATCCTTTCCCAAGAGACTACTGACATATACTAAAGTTCACACAGGGCTCCAGTTGACTAACAAATTAATCTCATTTAGCACTTCACATGAATGGTGAAATCAATTGCATGTTTAGTGATGACAGTAAATCTCTACTCCCTATCCCATTGAAAGCTTTACCATAATGTCTGTCTGCGTTGGGGTTATACTTTCAACATCTGCTGTTGCTACACATAAAAGATGAAGTTCAAATGTGTGACACATTCATGAGTATACTTAAATAGGCTTCACATTATGTGAATGAATCTGTAGTTCTGAGCCTTTTTCTCCCATTCTATAAAGCATTCAAGAATGTGTGTGTGTGCGTGCGTGTGTGTGTGTGTGTGAGAGAGAGAAAGAGAGAGAGAGAGAGAGAGAGAGAGATAGAAAGGTAGTTGATACCTAATTTAATATTTTAAAAATGCTTTCTTATTCCACCACCCTCCAGAAATGACTCCCAGGATGTCGGAGAACTAACCCACCGGGGGCAATACTATCTCAGATGAAGCTACTGAATTACTAAATTTAAAAATAAACCACAGTTTTCCACTCAACCATAATGAATAAACTGTTACTGGACTTGCCCTTCAACAACTAAAAGAAATTCAAACTGGGAAAAATACATGAAGTGATTGTTTTTAGACATTGGCAGCCCACCACCATGCTTCCTAATGGAGGGATGCAAATGTGGTCAGCCTGACCATCAGCCCCCAGCTTGCTCTCTGGAGGGACTTTCCAGACTGAGGCACAATGAGGTGCCAGAGTGCTTCTGGCTGTCAAGGCATTCAAAGGCAAGGAGCAGGATCCCCCACGTCACCCCCTCTTCAGCATTTCAAATTCCACTGCCTTGAGGCCCTCTTCTCCTCTAACCTGGAATACTGATATTTCTCCCCAAATTTATATTCCTCTTTTCATTTTCACACCTGAAAATCCGTCCTTGAAATATAGATCAGATTGATTTTTTTCTAAAATATAAATGTGATTGCAATTCTTTCAGTTAAAATTATTAGGTGACTTTCTCTGCCTTTGGAATACATTAAAAATAGTAGCATGGAACATAAAATTTTAGTGGCCTGGCTTCTATATATTACTACTCCCATCTCAGAGTAAATAGATGGGAGCAGTAACTCTGCCTTGCTTCTCTACTTCCACATCTGACACTCCAATCTTACCAGTAGTTTCCTGAATAGGGCATTCTTTCACAAGCTCATGGCCAGCTTCATGGGCACACAACCTGTGTGGCCCAAGAGGACCCTGTGCTCACAAGGGCCCTGTATTTGGTTTAAGACTCTGCTGTCGCCATCTTGAAATACTCAATAATTTTTAACAAGGTGCCCCATATATTCATTTGGCACTGGGCTCCACAGGCACATGCGTACACACACACACACACACACACACACACACACACACACACACAGACACCTAGAATAAGACAAGACACATGGGGAATGGAATAGTGTGTGGGTGGAATATAAACAGCACCGGGGCACTTAGGTTTGAGTTTCAGCCCTATGAGATTTTAGCTCTTAACTTCTCTTAATCTGTTTCATTACCTGTAATGAGGATTCAAATACCACTCCTGCATACCACAATGGGCCTGTTAAAAGAATTGACTGAAATGATATAAAAGTTTGTAAAAAGTAAAATACAGTTAAGGGTTTTAATCATATCATCATCATCTTAATTGGTTTACTTGGTTCAGTTAATATCAACTAATCTTCATTTCCAGAAGGAAGTATTAAGCATGTCAGAGAAACTCATTATCTTTTATTCTCCACCAAAAACTAGGAGGGCTTTAATAGTGGATTTGTGAAGTTTGTATTCAAGAATTGCATGAGTTTAGAAAAAAATGTTTATAATACACTCCTCATAATATAAATGAGAATATCTTGGCTATTGTGTAAGGAAGAAATTATAGGTCAACTAAAGCAGAAATTATGAAAATATTTCACAATTGAATCATCTATTAATTTCTTTTGAAGAGGATGCCAGTTCCTGTGAAATGAACACACTCATGTTGCTGGAAGAAATGGAGAAACAAAATGTCGATCCATACAACAGAATATTATTCAGCAAGAAAAAGGAAAAAGCTACTGATACATGCTATATGATGAACCTGAAAAACAATGCAAAGAAAGAAGCCAGATGCAAAAGATCAGATATTTTATGATTCCATTAAATGAAATTTTTAGAAAAAGCAAATCCATAGAGATAGAAAGCGATCTGTGGTTGTCTGGGCCTGAGGTTGGGAGTGAAACTGATTGCAAATGGCACACAGCAACTTTTTGGAGTAATAGGAATGACCTAAACCCAGATTGCAATGATGGTTGCCCAGCTATATGAGCTTCCTAGAAATCATCTAATTATACAAACAGTGAGTGATTTCATAATTGTACCTCAATAAAGCCACTCAAAAAAGAAAATAAGAAGGGAAGGAAAGGGGGAAGAAAGGAAAGAAGGAAAAAAGACATGAGAAAGACAAAAGAAAATAAAAAGAAGAGAAAAACTCACTGCTATACAATGATCACTCCCAGCCCTAGCCCCACACTGCTTAGCGCCAGCTCTAATACCAGCTTTGTGATCTTGGCAAGTCGTTTTATAAATGAAAGCTTAAAACGCCTTCCACCAATCTTAAAGAAAAAATAAAACAGATTTTAAAATTGTTAATAGCTGTTGAAATGACCTCCCCTTCTCTTCATTAGAACTTCCTAGCTTCTTATTTTCACTAGGAAGAAAAAGATCATATCAAAATAAGCACCTCAGTTTGCAAACTAAAATTTTCTTTGGATATTCCTCCTTCTCTCTTGCAAGAAAATTTCTCATTCTGAATTCTTGAATCCATCATCTTTTTTTCATTTGTTTGCATCATCATTCTTCCCCTTTCTGTGAATCCTCCTTGACCTATAAATGTACTCAAACATCTCAAATTTAAAAACAAAACAAAACTCTATTTACTGTTCTTGAGCAGGGGTGGAATTTTTAATTACTAATTAGTCATACCTTAAATCTTCCTCCCTTGAGAATCACCAATAAGCTCCTGAATGCCAGATTCAGTAGTAGTTTCTCCAACCTCCTCAATAGTCTTTCTATAGCTCACATCTCCATAATGCAATATTTTTTTAAACCATTTACTTCTGGTACTGCTAGGGTTTTCTGGGTTATGTTGTTTTTCTCCTGCCTTTCCTACTTCTTCAGAGGCTAATTTTCATGCTTCATTTCTCTAGCTATTTTTAAATGGAGCTTTTCATCTAGGTTCAAACATGTGTGTTCCATACTATTCTATATCCTACACTCTACCCCCACCACCAGGCCTCTTTCATTTTTACAGTTTCAACCCCTGCCTCTAAGATTTTCAATCCTAACTTCTACCACCATCTCCAGTCCCACATTTTTAACTTCTTTCTGGATAACTCCACCTTTATGTATAACTTGCAACACAAACTTAACATGGCCGACTCCAACTCAAAAGCTTGTGCTCATTTCAATCTGCCATAATAACTCTTAAAAATATGTAAAATGTAATACTGGTTTCCATTTGTTGGAACTATAGTAGAATATGGAGATTTTGAAAAGAAAGGCAAGAGGGCTCAAGGTGAATATGGCCTTGAATAATTTATTCAGGGGAAGAACTAAACATCCTATAACATTGCAGGGAAAAAAGCAGGACTGTTGCCCACAATTTGATTTAATTATTACTTCAATTTAATTCCTTTTTAATAGGTTCTCTTGACTTGCCCTAATTCCATCCACCAAGTTGCACTCCTGGGCTTCCAGAATTTAGACTTAATTATTTGGGATGACCAAACTGAGAAAATTCTGCACTTGATTGTCTGCCAGTAGACCGTACCACTTGACTTGGTGATTCCTGTAACAGAATATTAATCTTGAAGAATTACCACCCTGATATTGGTCCATACTTGGGTGTGGCTCTAGTGTTACAGGATTTCATGAGTGCTGCTTTGTCAGCTGGAAATCTCTGTAGCCACCACTGCCTCTATCCGGCCTTGCTTGGGCCCACTGGGCTCACTCTACCTGCTCAGCCTTGCAGGTTGTGCTTGGCTCATGCCCACTCAGATCCCATTCCTGCCACAGCTCCACATTCAGCCCACTGCTGGACTGGGCATGCCGTGATCAGCTTCCATGGTGGGTGCCAGCATCTAGATGAGGGGAACATGGTGGCACCCAAAAACTCAGAGATGATAGCAACTGTGGTGCCCCAAAGGTGTTACAGCTCTTGCTCAAGGAGTCCCAACATCTGAGCCTCCAGAAATGTCACAGCTCTTTGTTCCTGCAGCTTGGTGAGGTGGTGGGGTGGGGGGTGTTACAGCTCTCTTTCTCCTGTGGTCCCATGAGCAGGAGCATGTTACAGCTCTTTTATTGCCATTGTCTGCAGCTCAGCAAGTTCTGGGCTCTTGTCTCACAACCAAGATGAATGATGTGCGTGGACATCACGGAGTGAGTAACGCAGAGAAGTATTTTATTGAGTGACAGAAGAAAAGCTCACAGCTGCAAGAGGGAACCCCAAAAGCAGACATAGCTGCCTGTGAGGCTGAGTCTGGGGTTTTTATGGGCTTAGAATGAGGGAGTGTGTGCTGATTGGTCCATGGGCAAGCTTGGAAAAAGCACAATTTGACTGGTTAAAAGACATTATCCAGAAGGAACCAATGGAGGGAGAAGGTAAGACAGGAATAGAAGTTCTCACTTCAGTCGTGGGCTCTATCCTGAACTAGCCTCTCAGTTTTCAAATTTTAAACTGGCTTTGGCTTGAAGGTCTGGTTTCACCAGGGACCCATCCCTGTCTGCCTAGGAATTTGTCTGTCTCATGTCACTATCACTACTACTGCAGCAAGCTGTGGAAGACAGAGTCAATAACCATAAAAGAGAGACTGCTAACACAGCCATTACTGAATATTCCATCATTGCCTTACAAGAGCAAACAAAAACTAAGACAGCCTCCTCACCAGATTTTGCCATCAATTACTTTAATTTCAGAAATCATTTGTATTTAAAATATGTTAGATTCAGGAGTGCTTTGGTGGTCCTTCAATTTCAGAGTATTTTTCATTCAGATTGAAATGTCACTAGCTTCTAACTGAATGACAGAAAAAGCTAAAGTGATCTGTCACTGGAAATTGCTCCTGAATTCTAAATATAAATCTTCTCTGATGTTAAAAGAAAAAATAAAGGCTTTCAGTAAAAATCTCACCAAAAATATTTTCCCTCTTTACTAAACACGTACACTTTAATTGACATTTTTAACTTTATTATAAAAAATGTCAGAATACACCTATCACCCAGATGTAACAATTATTATTTTTAACATTTGTTTCTATTTTTACTGACATCTTAAACCTTAATGTATCAGGGTACCACCCTAAAAGATATGGGCATTTTTCTACCTAACTATAATACTATTACTGTACCTAACTCAGTAATAATTTATTTTCAATAATAATTAATTTAGTATCCAATTCATATCCAAAATTACCTAAGGTCCTCAAAATATCTATCTATTTACAGTTGAATTTGTTCGAATTAGTATTAAAAGTACACCTATTACATCTAGTTTTTGCCTTTTAAGTCTCTTTTAATTCATAACACTTTTAATGTCTATAGTTTTCCATTTGAAGAAAGAGCTGCACTTTTTTATTACCATGTCTATAATTTCTTTCATTGAATGTTAACTTCTTCATTTGTGAAAATGATCATATCTGCGAATTATTTTCTGAAAAAATGACAGTAAGGTCTTCCATCTATAAATAAATTTATATCACACACCATGGCATATAAAGCCTAGCATAATTTTGAGGGTATGGTAAGATAAAAGGTCAGAAGCAATTCTATTATATGAAAATTTTTTCCTAACCACATGGTATCAGAGACCTTTAGAAGAGGTGGTAATGTAGAAAAACAAAAATCCATTTACTAAAGTTGATTTAAGAAAGCTGACACATTGGAGGGCATTTCTTCAGTTTTTGGAATTGTCATAAAGCATGTTATCAACATGAGTGTTAGAATTGCAAACACAGTCAATGCACAGAAAGGTCAAAGTAATTGTAATTTCCACCAACAATAGATGAGTTTATTTACCTAAAAATTTGATTTCTCCTCAGAAGTAAGCCAGGAAATGCCAGAAAATGAGAAAGAGAGGGACAGAAAGAGAGTAAGAGACAAGTATACATAACCTCAAAATATAGTCTTTACTCATGATCATTTTATTCAGATAAGAGCAGGAAGGTTCTAATCAGTGAGCCATGAAATTTGCATAAATTCCATAACACTTCTTTTACTAATCTAAGAAATTTAACAATAAAAAACCTTACACTAACCATCAGAGAAATGCAAATCAAAACCACAATGAGATACCATCTCACACTAGTCAGAATGACTATTATTAAGAAGTAAATATACAACAGATGCTGGTGAGGCTGCAGAGAAAAGGAAATGCTTCTATACTGTTGGTGGAAATGTAAATTAGTTCAGCCACTGTGGAAAGCAGTTTGGACATTTCTCAAAGAACTTAAAATAGAACTACCATGCAACCCAGCAAACCTATTACTGGGTATATACTCCCAAAGAAAATAAATCTTTCTACAGAAAAAGACACATTCTCAGTAAACTATCGCAAGGACAAAAAACCAAACACTACATGTTCTCACTCATAGGTGGGAATTGAACATTGAGAACACATGGACACAGGAAGGGGAACATCACACTCTGGGGACTGTTGTGGGATGGGGGGAGCAGGGAGGGATAGCATTAGGCGATATACCTAATGCTAAATGATGAGTTAATGGGTGCAGCACACCAGCATGGCACACGTATACATATGTAACTAACCTGCACATTGTGTACATGTACCCTAAAACTTAAAGTATAATAATAATAAAAATAAATAAAAATTTAAAAAGACATATGCATTCATGCTCATCAGAGCACTCTTCACAATAACAAAGACATGGTATCAACCTAGGTGCCTATCAACAGTGAACTGGATAAAGAAAATTTGGTACATATACATCATGGAATACTACGTAACCATGAAAAAAAATCATATTCTTTGCAGTGACAGGAATGCAGCTGGAGGCCATTATCCTAAGCCAATTAATGCAAGAACAGAAAACCAAGTATCGCATGTTCTCATTTATAAGTGGGAGCTAAATTTTGGGTAAACATGGACACAAAGATGGCAATAATAGACCCTGGTGACTGCTAGTGGGGAGAAGGAGGGACCAGGGCAAGGGTTAAAAAACTAATTATTTGGGCACTATGCTCACTACTTGAGTGATTGAATCATTCATACTCCAAATCTCAGCATCATGCAATGTACCCAAATTTGCATATGTACATTTAACAAATTTGCACATGTACCCTCTGAATCTAAAATAAAAGTTAAAATCTTTTTTTTTTTTTTAATTTCAGCAGGGGGCCAGAGGTCTGTTTTGGTTTATCACCTCTACAAGTTAAATTAAGATGCTTGATCTTATATAAAATCCTGTTATAGAGTAAGTTTTAAGGTGGCCTCAGAGTAGCATCTGCTTTTAACTATAACTTGAAGTATACCATAAATGGATCAGAACAATCACTTTATTTTAGAGAATATAGGGAAAGGGTTGAATGTGCAACCCAGTCAGTTCCCCTTCCATTTTACCTTCTAGAAACTTCCTCTCAACATAGTAACTCACAGCAGTTTATCCTTCAAAAAATTCCCCAGAAAAAGTGTTAATTGGTTTGGGAAAATATTTTTTGACATATTATATAAATAGGCCCTATATCCAGGGGTTGAAGACATATATCTAGGGGTTGGATATATGCCCTATATCGAGAGGTTTGAGTTGGAATTCGAGTAGACAGAAATCTCCTTAAAACAAAGGTTATTGAACAGTCATGAGACTCTTAAAATGACATTTATTTATCTATATATTATTTTGGTGAGAGAAGGAAACAAAGAGAGAGAAGCTAGTGCTTTTGGAATGCCTACTGTGTCAGGACAGATGCTTTGAAATACATTTTCACTGATATGACACCCTAGAATTTGAGAAGAAAACCTTAAAGGAAATAAATTTGGAAAAAGAGGATATGAAAAGTAGGGTTGTTCTATTTTACCGAAGAAGGATGAATATATCCTCAACAAAATAGTAGCAAAAATATTCAACAAAATATTAGCAAACCAAATCCAGTAGTTTATTAGGAGGATTATGCATCATGACCAAGTGGGATTTTTACCAGGTATATAATATAATATGCCACAGTAATAGATGGAGGGAAAAAAAACACATAACCACATGATCATCTCAACTCATGCAGACAAAGCATTTGACAAAATGCAACATCATATCATGAGAAACGCATTCAACAAAGTAGGAATAGAAGGGAACTTCATCAACGTGATAAAGAGAATTTTTGAAAAATTCACAGGCAATATTAATGCACGGTGAAAGACAAAAATTTCCTAAAATTAGGAGCAAAACAAGAATACCACTTTCACCATTTCTTTTCAACACTGTGCTAAAGTTCTAGCTGTCTACTATGGCAAAAGAAAGAGAGAAAGAGAGAAAGGGAGGAAGGGAAGAAGGGAAAGGAAGGAAGGGGAAGGAAGGAAGGAAGGAAGGAAGGAAAAGAAAAATAAAATGCATCTAAATTGGAAAGGAAGATATAAAGTTATTTCCTTTCACAAAAAGATGATCCTATATACAGAAAGTCCTAAATAATTTACAGAAATTATTGTTAGAGCTAATAAGTTCAGCAAAGTTGCAGGATATAAGGTTGATGTTAAAAATTCAATTATACTTATATATGCTAGCAATAAAGAAACTTAAAATAAATTATGAAAACAATCTCATTACAATAACATCAGAAAGAATAAAATACTTAGAAACAAATTTAACCAACATAGTTGAAGGACATGTACACTGAAAAGTATAGATCACTGTTGAAAGAAACTACAGTCCTAAATAAATGGAAAGACATTCCATGTTCATAGATCAGAAGACAATACTTTAAAGATGGCAATACTACCCAAAGTGGTCTGCAGATTCAATGTAATCACTATTAAATCCCAATAATATTTTTATAGAAATGGAAAAGCTCATTCTAAAATTTATATGGTATTGCAAGGGATCCCGAAGAACCAAAACAATCTTAAAAAAGAGAAGCAAAGTTGGAGAAGTCACACTTACTGATTTGAAAACTTACTAAGAGGTACAATAATAAAAATAGTGTAGTATTAATATGTGGAAAACATATAGATCAATGGAATAGGATTGAGGATTCAGAAATAAATAAGCCAATATATCTATGGCCATTTGTTTTTTTACAAAGGTGATAAGACTATTCACTGAAAAAAGAATACGCTCTTCAACTAGTTATCTACATAAAAAAGATTGAAGTTGGACTTCCACCTCACACCATGCATAAAAATTGAGTCAAGATGAATCAAAAACCTGAATGTAAGAATAAAAATTATGAAACACAAGAAAATATAAGTTAAATCTGTATGACCTTAGATTTGCTGAAGGATTCTTAGATATGTTACTAGAAACACAGCAACAAAAGAAAACATAGATACACTGGATTTCATCAAAATTAAGAACTTCAGCACATGAAATGACATGATTAAAAAAGTGAAAAGATAACATACAGAATGGCAGAAAATATTTACAAATAAAATATCTGATAAGAATCTAATATCCACCACACATACAGAACAGTTACAAGTCAACGACAAAAGATAAACAACCCAATTTAGAAATGAACAAAGGATGTGAATAGACATTTCTCCAAGAAGGAGCAGACAAAAAAAGTTCAATATTATTTGTCATTAAGGAAATGCAAATCAAAACCACATTTCACACCCAAGTGGATGACTATAATTTTTTTAAAAAAAGGAAAATAACAAGTACTGACAAAGATGTGTGGAAATTAAGACCCTTGTACGTTGCTGGTGGGAATGTACTGTGGAAAGAGTTTGGTCAGGTTTGCTTTTTTTTAATTTAACATAGAATTACCATATGACCCAACTATTCTACACTTCAGTCTGCACCCACAAGAACTGAAAACAGATATTCAAACATAAACTTGTCTGTGGATGCTCATGCTATTTACAACAGGAGGAAATAAACCAAATATCCATCAATTGATGAGTAAATAAACAAGATGTGGTATATCCACACAATGGAATAGTATTTAGCCATAAGAAGGAATGTAGAACTGATATATGCTAAAATATGGATGAAACTCAAAAACATGCTGAGAGGAAGAAATTGCATGATTGCATTCATATGAATAGGTAAATCCACAGAAACAGAAAACAGATCAGTGGTTGCCAAAAACTAGGAAATTTCTAGGGAATGAGGAGTGACTGTTAAATGGGTGTGGGGTCTTCCTCTGGGGTGATGGAAATGTTTTATAACTAGATAGAGGCCAAGGTTGTACAACATTGTGAGTTTATTAAATGCCACTGAATTGCACACTTTAAGTTGGCTAATTTTACTTGTGAATTTTACCACAATTTTAAGAAGATGAGAAAACATTCACAATAATAAGACAATGCAGAACAATTTAAAGTTTTTGAGGAGGGAAGTGACAGGACATGACATTTAGGAAAATAATGTTGCCAGAGCATGGAGGTTTCACTGGAGAGGGAAGAAATTTCAACCACAGGCAGTGACCAGCTTTTTATGATATGATTTATGATAATGAAAGTGGTCATGTGTGTGTGGAGTTGATATGAAATTGGAAGGATGAAATTAAGAATAGGAGTGAATCATTCCAATATATTCCTTTTCATATAAATTTGATTTTTGAAAATCATTGTTTTCAAACGTTGTTCAACTGTTTCAAACAAAATCATTGTTTTCATTTGAAAATATATTCTAGATGGAGAATTCAGAGTCCTGCAAAAAGCATTAAATAAAGACAGGCAAAAAGAATGATCAGAAAATATTAAGAGTCAAACAAGAATGAATGAATGCCTTGCCTATTGAAAACAAAATAAAATTATATTGGATAAACTTAGCTTCATGAAAATATTTGATGTTTCATGAAAATATTGAAAAAGAATGGTCTTTCCTTTTCCATGGTGCCTCATGTTTCCAAAAACTTCTCATAGATTAGTGTTAGCCTCCAATTCTCTCACCTCCTCCCCTCTTTAATTCAGCCTTCTCTATCTTTTACTTAAGTTGATTCTAATCTCTTCCTATTATAAACAATGTCACAATGAATAAAATTGTGTTCGTATTATTTCACAAAGGCACATTCACCATGGTAGAAGAGATTTTCCAAGAGAACCTGCTGTAATTTTGATAAATATTGCCCAATTTCCCTTCACCTGACAATTGTAACACTTTTCCTTGGTCATAAGCAATGCAAAGAGTATCCATTTATAACGTCAAAATTTGTGACATCTTCTAACATAGGTGTGAAGTGACATCAAAATATAGTTTTAAATTGTGTTGTTCTTTTTATGTTTATACTGAGCACTTTTTCATATTTAAGACCATTTGTTATGGTTATTTTCCATGTTATCTGCTAGTCATTTAGTTTGCCTGCCTTTCTAATTGGACTCTGTTGTTCTTTTCCCATTTCTAGGGAATCTTTACATATTAGGGACATTAGCCACTCATGTCTAAGTTGCAAATATCTTTTCCAAGGACGCCATTTGTTTCTGGACTTTGTTATTGTGGCTTTACTGCCATGCCATATAGACATATAAAATAGGCTTTACATATCATATATATATATATAAAATATGCTAGTATTTTTCTGTTTTCTAATTTTGTTGATCTTGGATTTGAAGTCACAGTTAGAGAGACATTTTTCACACCACGTAGGAAGAAGTTTGCTGATGTTTTCTTCTAGTAGTTAGGTGGCCTTATTAGCATACTGATAGGGTTTGGTTGTGTCCCCACCCAAATCTCATCTTGAATTGTACTCCAATAATTCCTGTGTGTTGTGAGAGGGACCCGGTGGGAGATAATTGAATCATGGGCGCAGTTTCTCCCGTACTGTTCTCCTAGTAGTGACTAAGTCTCATGAGATCTGATGGTTTGATAAGGGAAACCTGTTTTGCTTGGCTGTCCTTTTCTCTTGCCGCTGCCATGTAAGAAGTGCCCTTTGCCTTCTGCCATAATTGTGAGGCCTCCCTAGCCACATGGAACTGTAAGTCTATTAAACCTCTTTCTTTTGTAAATATCCCAGTCTCAGGTAGCTTTATCGGTAGCATGAAAACAGACAAATACACATACTACATGTATTTTTTTTTTGAGACAGAGTCTTGCTCTATCCGCCAATGCAGAGGTAAGATCTCTGCTCACTGCAACCTCCGCATCCCGGGTTCAGGCGATTCTTATGCCTCAGCCTTCCCCATGTAGCTGGGCTTAAAGGCATCTGCCACCACCCATGGCTAATTTTTGTATTTTTAATAGAGACAGGGTTTCGCCATGTTGGCCAGGCTGGTCTCGAACTCCTGACCTCAGATGATCCGCCCACCTCGGCCTCCCAAAGTGCTGGGATTACAGGTGTGAGCCACTGCACCTGGCCATGTATTTTTATTTATTGTCCACTTTATTCATTTGGAAATTATCCTCACTTAAAGAAATATGTCTAGCTTTGTCTCAGTCTGTGTAACTTCCCAAATGCACCATTTTTTAAACAGTCAAATTTATCCCATCTATTAAATAAGCAGAATAAATCCTCACATTTATTTGGGTCCATTTCTGGGCTTTCTATTCTGTTACATTGGTCTGTGTACAGGCAGCTGCAGTACTGCACTGTTTTAAATATTAAAGTATTATAGCATATATTAATATTTAGTAAGGCTAACCTCCTATTACTGCTCTACCTTTTCAGAGTTTTCCTGGGTATTTTCTTTTTTCACTGTCCCTTGTGAACTTCAGACTCAATTTGTTTTGTTCCACAAAAACAACATATTGATATTTTAATTGTAATTACCTTTGATTTGTAAGCTAACTTAGAGAGAATGATGTCTTTACAATATTGACTTTTACTATCCACATACATTGTATAGCTTCTCAAAGTTTCAAATCTTCTTTTATTTCTTTCATGAATATTGGGAAGCCTTTCTCTCATATGTTTTTCTCGTTTCAAATTATTTTTTCTATGTAATTCATCTTTTTTGTGGCTTCTCAATCTTCATTTGGACTAATTAGTTGCTGATGAATACATGAAAACTACTGATTACTAACTTATGTGTAGTAATTTTTCAGATGGGAATTTTTTTCTTATTGAATAAAGCCCAGACTTGTTTCTCTGTTTGTTTGTTTGTTTATTGAGATGGAGTCTCACTCTGTCACCCAGGCTGGAGTGCAATGGCATGATTTTGGCTCACTGCAACCTCTGCCTCCCAGGTTCAAGCGATTCTTGTGCCTCAGTCTCCCGAGTAGCTGGGATTACAGGTGCACGCGACCATGCCTGGCTAATTTTTTTATTTTTAGTGGAGATGGGGTTTCACCATGTTAGCCAGGCTGGTCTCAAACTCCTGACCTCAAGTGATCTGCCTCAGCCTCCCAAAGTGCTAAGATTTAAGGTGTGAGTCACCACGCCTGGCCTTCCCAGAATTGTTTAGAATGCAATTAAACTGTCCAAAATTTATCTTTCTGGCACTATGTGTGATTTTTTTTCCTCCACCTTCCTGTCCAGCCTCTCTGGTTCACTTTCTTTTTCTAAACATGCCACATACTTTCATATTAATGTGGTTTTGTCTTTTTGTTTTGTTTCCATTTCAGCCACCAAATAGCCAAAGTCCAAATTATTAGTATTGGCTCCATGCAGCTTTCTCAAATGTCGAATTTATCTAGTGAGCATAGCTCCTGTCTCTCTTTTGCTGCAGCATGTTGCATAGATCTGGTCCCTCTCTTACACGCTAAGTTGATCAATTGCATTTCTATGATCCCTCTAGCTTTTGAGTTCCTTAACAGCCATGGCTGTTTTTAATTTCTATATTCCTTTTGCATCTTGGATGAGTGCTTAGACCATAGTATATATATGTTGAAGTACACAGAATAGACAGATGATAGATAGATAGATAGATAGATAGATAGATCAGTAGATAATGGAGATAGAAGATGAGATACATAGACACAGAGAGAGAGATAGATGATAGATAAATACACAAATACATATCAGTAGTTTCTGGACTTTATTCTTTCATAGACCAATAACATTTCAAAAAAATTCGGAGACAAGTACAAAGTTGTTAGGTTTTGTTTGTCTAAATCAGAGCATTAAAAAACACCAAAAAAAGGTCTTCCTATCCATCTTCATTTGACATGAGAAAGGACAAATTAACCCCAAATTAGTAAGAAGGACGTGAATCTTAAACTCAAGCATTGTCCTTTCAATTGGATAAATTGGGTAGGAAAATGGCAACAGCATAGTTTTGAATCTTCTCACTTCTGGAAATCAGATAGAGCGATGAGGATGACAACACTATCAACCACAACAAAAGGTACAAACTACATCCTCAGAAAAATGACAATGCCAAAGTTCCAAACGACATTGAGGTGTGGTCAAAACATCAGAGACCTGAAAAGCAGACCCAAGAAGCAGCGTTGGTGCAGTCCCAGCATTGGGAAGAATGGGAGAAAGAGGGGCCTGATAGTGGTCAGTCTCAGAGACTGACAGCAAACATTTTCTCCTGAAACCATGCAGACTTGCCATGATGGGAAATGCCAGGCCAAGATGGAATAGCGAGCAATAACTGGAGAAGGCAGAGGGAAAAACCAGGGAGAGAGCTCGAGGAAGGCCTGAGATGACTAAACTCAGAAAATGCTCCTTTTAAAAAGGGAAAGATATAGTGGAAGGCAGTAGCTAGGATTCTTGTTAGCCATGGCTCAGAAGACTCAACGATTTTGTACACTCTTGTGAGAACAAGGAAAGGTGGAGCTACACAGTGGGGTCATAGTTTTGAAGAAATAATTCATCACTGCAGCATGAGAAGAGGAAGAATTTGAGCAGAATAATCTGGAGAACTACCCTGGGCACTCCCTCACTCCACAGGAATCTTGCTAATGGCTAGTCTGGAAAAAAAACAACATATTCAAGTAAGTGTAAGCATAACATCCAAACAAAGAAACTCGTTATTTGTTTAACCTTGAATAACATGGGTTTAAAAAAGAAACTCTTTAAAAGAATATGAAGAAAATGTGTCAGAAAATAATGCTGTCACAAAGCAAATAAAAATTGTAACTCCTACCTAAATAGATAAAAAACAACAACAACAACAACAACCAACTCTGGACTTCAACTATGAAGTTGGCTGATAGTAAGAACAAGGCCAAAAGACTAAAATTACCTGACACAAAAATGTGTGGCATGATGAGAAAAAAATAAATGGACCAATAAGACTGTAAGTTGGAGGGCAAAAAAACCATACATGGTTCCAGAAAGTCTTCTGGCAGATAAATTGTGGGGAGTTTAATTGCTCCACTAAACAAGTCTGGGCTTTTCTCAACAAGTAATGAAGGACCATTTAAGAGTCTTGAGGAGAGTGAGCTGATTCATTCTGTGTTTTTGGAAGATAACTTTAGTTCTTTGAGTGAAAGATAAATTGTAGAGATAAGAGAGTGATAAACTAGATCAGTTTAAAAAAAAACATGGTAAAATCTCTGTTGATTTATTTATTCATCACCTGTTTATTGAGTGTCTATGATGTGCCAGGAACTGTCTCAGGTCTTTGGAAATAACAGTGAACCACAAGAATCCCTGCCCTCGGGTAGATTATATTCTAACAAGGCGAGATCACTAATACAACAAACAGACATATACTGTGTCAGGTGATGATATGCACTCTTGAGGCAGGATAGGTAGTCAAGGAAGTAACCATGTTCTCAGGATATGAGAAGTGTGGCCACTGCACTGTCAAAACAATAAGCCCCAGGATTTGCATCATAGCCAAACTCCTTCAAGTACAGCTATCTCCAGTAGGGCATTTCTTCCATAGAGAGCAAGTGTATTTTGATTTTGCCTGTCCTCAAATTGACCCTTTGGTCATTAGAACAAGCATGTACAGCTACTGCGAATGTGCACCCAGAGGGCTACCCAGAACATGCTTACTAGTTACGCTTCCTCCCACCCTCTTAGGAATATCATGTAATACTCCCATAAACAGCATTTACCCAGTAACAGTCAATGCTGTCATCCTCACGAGCAGCCTGCCTGGAATCCTCTCTCTCAGAGCACGCTGCCTATTCTACAACTAACTTTTGGAGTATTCTTTCTCCTTTGCAAGAAATTGCTCTATGCTGCATCTCATTTGCTGTGTGTCTCCTATTTAAATTCTTTTAAACTAAGAAGACAATGTATTAGTCCATTCTCACACTGCTATAAGGAACTACTTGAGGCCAGGCGCAGTGGCTCATGCCTATAATCCCAGCACTTTGGGTGGCCAAGGCTGGTGGATCACCTGAGGTCGGGAGTTCAAGACCAGCCTGACCAACATGTAGAAACCTCATCTCTACTAAAAATACAAAATTAGCTGGGGTGGTGGTGTATGCCTATAATCCCAGCTACTTGGGAGGCTGAGACAGGAGAATCGCTTGAACCCAGGAGGCAGAGTTTGCGGTGAGCCGAGATCATGCCATTGCACTCCAGCCTGGGCAAAAAGAGCAAAACTCCGTCTCAAAAAAAAAAAAAAAAGAAGAAGAAAAAAGAAAAGAAAGAAAGAACTACCTGAGACTGAGTAATTTATGAAGAAAAGAGGTTTAATTGACTCACTGTTCTACAGGCTGAACAGGAAGCACGGCTAGGAGACCTCAGGAAACTTACAATCATGGTGGAAGTTGAAGGGGAAGCAAGCACATCTTACCGTGGCAAAGCAGGAGACAAAGGGGGAGAAGGGGGTAGTGCCACACACTTTTAAACCATCAGATCTCATGAGAACTCACTCATGAGAACAGCAAGGGGGATATCTCGTCCTCATGATCCAATCACCTTCCACTAGGTCTCTCCCTCAACATTGGGGATTACAATTCAACATGAGATTGTGTGGAGACACAGAGCCAAACCATGTCATTCCACCCCAGCCCCTCCCAAATCTCATGTCCTTCTCAAATTTCAAAACACAATCATGCCTTCCCAACAGTCCCCCAGACTGTTAACTCATTTCAGTATTAATTCAAATGTCCAAGTCCAAAGTCTCATGTGAGACAAGGCAAGTTGCTTTGGCCTACGAGCCTGTAAAATAAAAAACAAGTTAAGCTACTCTCAAGATACAATGAGGATACAGGCATTGTGTAAATAGACCCATTCCAAGAGAGAGAAATCAGCCAAAACAAAGGGGCTACAGGCCCCATGTAAATCCAAAACCAGCAGGGCAGTCACTAAATCTTAAAGCTTCAAAATGATCTTCTTTGACTCCATGTCTCACATCCAGGCCACACTGATGTAACGGATGGTCTCCCAAGACCTTGAGCAGCTTTGCCCCTGTGGCACTGCAGGGTACAGCTCCTACAGCTGCTTTCATGGGCTAGCATTGAGTGCCTTTAGCTTTTCCAGGTGTACAGTGCAAGCGGTCAGTGGATCTACAATTCTGAGGCCTGGAGGATGGTGGCCCTCTTCTCACAGCTCCACTAGGCAGTGCCCAAGTAGGGACTCTGTCTGGGGGCTCCAACCCCACATTTCCTCTTTGCACTGCCCCAGTAGAGGTTCTTCTTGAGGGCTCTGCCCCTACTGTAGACTTCTGCCTGAACATCTGGGCATTTCCCTGCATCCTCTGAAATCTAGACAAAGGTTCCCAAACCTCAACTCTTTCCTTCTGCATACCTGCAGGCCCAACACCATGTGGAAGCCACCAAGGCTTAGGGCTTGCACTCTCTGAAGCAATGGCCCAAGGTGTACCTTGGCCCCTTTTATCCAAGACTGGAGCTAGAGCACCTGGGACATATGGCACTATGTCCTGGGGCTGCATAGGGCAGGGGGCCCTAAACCATTTTTCCCTCCTACGCCTCCAGGAGGAGGCCTCCCTGTGATGGGAGGGGCTGCCACAAAAATCTCCGAAATGCCCTGGAGACATTTTCCCCATTGGCTTGGCTATTAACATTCAGTTCCTTGTTACTTGTGCAAATTTCTGCAGCAGGCTTGAATTTCTCCCCAGAAAAGGCATTTTTCATTTTTACCACATGGCCAGGCAGCAAATTTTCCAAACTTTAAACTCTGTTTCCCTTTTAAATATAAGTTCCAGTTTCAGATAATCTTGGTTCATGCATATGAGCATACACTTTTAGAAACACCCAGGTTACATCTTGAATGCTTTGCTGCTTAGAAATTTCTTCTGCCAGATAACCTAACTCACCTCTTTCAAGTCCAAATTTCCACAGATCTCTAGGGCAGGGGCAAAATGCCACCAGTCTCTTCACTAAAGCATAGCAAGAGTGACCTTTACTACAGTTCCCAATAAGTTCCTCATTTCTGAGACATCAGCCTCAACTTCATTGTCCATATCACCATCAGCATTTTGGTTGAAACCATTCGAAAAGTCTCTAGGAACTTCCAAATTTGCCCACATCTTCCTACCTTCTGAACCCTCCAAACTCTTCCAACCTCTGTCCCTTACCCAGCCAAAGTCACTTCCACATTTCAAGTATCTTTATAGAAATGCCCCA
Source organism: Homo sapiens (assembly GCF_000001405.40). Taxonomy (NCBI): domain Eukaryota; kingdom Metazoa; phylum Chordata; class Mammalia; order Primates; family Hominidae; genus Homo; species Homo sapiens. Next base: position 110,329,038 of record NC_000004.12, on the reverse strand, counting down.
CTTTCCTGATACCAATTTTCTGTATTAGTCCATTCTCACACTGCTATAAAGAACTACATGAGACTGGGTAATTTATGAAAAAAAGAAGTTTAATTGAGTCACAGTTCCACAGGCTGTACAGAAAGCATGGCTAGGAGGCCTCAGGAAACTTACAATCATGGTGGAAGATGAAGGGGAAGCCAGCATATCTTACATGGCTGGAGCAGGAGAAAGAGAGAGAAGGGGGAAGTACAAGACACTTTTAAACCATCAGATCTCATGTGAACTCACTCACTATCATGATAACAGCAAGGGGGAAATCTGCCCCCATGATCCAGTTACCTCCCACAGGGTCTCTCCCTCAACACTGGGGATTGCAATTCAACATGAGATTTGGGTGGGAACACAGAGCCAAACCATATCAGAAAAGGACCCAGCTTTCACAACAGCCATCAACATTTTGAGGAAAAATAAAACCAGTAAGAGCACAGAGAATGATTTTGGGGTGGGGCAGTCATAGAAGTCCTATCAGACAAGATACCATTTGTACTGAGACCTGGACAAAGTGAAGTAAGCCATGACCCAATCTCCGTGAGAAGATGGTACTTGGCAGAAGTCAGGAGCTGGGAGTATGTGTTAAAGCAAATGGGTTGGAGCCTTTCCATCATTTGAGATAGTGTTTAAAACAACCCAACACAAATAGAAGTACCAAATAACAAACCTATGTTTGTCTTAGATGTGGAGAGATGTACTGCAGGAAGACACTGAGAAGGTGGAGGTTAGGAGATTGAGATTTGGAAGCCCTCTAGGCTGGTTTTATCAGAGCACTGTCTTTTTGCTTAAGACAACTTATTCACCTTTGCCTGATGAACATAAAGCTAAGAATGTCGCTTCTGGAAGTGATTTGTCTTTTTTTTTTTTTCCACCATGTATTAGGAATAAGCCCAATTGCACCAGGGAGGAAAACAAAACAGGAAAGAGAATGATTTGGCAACCAACTAGGGGAAAAAGCCAGTCAGTTGTTTCAGGAACATGGTATTACAGTCCTTTCCAGCTTAAAAGGGAACGTTAAGTAGAGATGACCTTTTTAAAAATGGTCCTTCCTCGGGGTGGAGCCAAGATGGCTGAACAGGAACAGCTCCAGTCTACAGCTCCCAGTGTGAGCGACACAGAAGACGGGTGATTTCTGCATTTCCAACTGAGGTACCAGGTTCATCTCACTGGGGAGTGTCGGAAAGTGGGTGCAGGACAGTGGGTGCAGTGCACCAGCATGAGCCAAAGCAGGGCGAGGCATCACCTCACCTGGGAAGCACAAGGGTTCAGGGAATTCCCTTTCCAAGTCCAAGAAAGGGGTGACGGATGGCACCTGGAAAATCGGGTCACTCCCACCCTAATACTGCACTTTTCCAACGGTCTTAGCAAATGGCACACCAGGTGATTATATCCTGCACATGGCTGAGAGGGTCCTATGCCCACGGAGCCTCGCTCATTACTAGCACAGCAGTCTGAGATCAAACTGCAAGGCGGCAGCAAGGCTGGGGAAGGGGCACCTGCCATTGCCGAGGCTTGAGTAGGTAAACAAAGTGGCCAGGAAGCTCGAACTTGGTGGAGCCCACCACAGCTCTGCCTGCCTGCCTCTGTAGACTCCACCTCTGGGGGCAGGGCATAGCCAAACAAAAGGCAGCAGAAACCTCTGCAGACTTAAATGTCCCTGTCTGACAGCTTTGAAGAGAGTAGTGGTTCTCCCAGCATGCAGCTGCAGATCTGAGAATGGACAGACTGCCTCTTCAAGTGGGTCCCTGACTCCTAAGTAGCCTAACTGGGAGGCATCCCCCAGTAGGGGCAAACTGACACCTCACATGGCCAGATACTCCTCTGAGACAAAACTTCCAGAGGAACGATCAGGCAGCAATATTTGCTGTTCACCAATATCCGCTGTTCTGCAGCCTCCACTGTTAATACCCAGGCAAACAGGGTCTGGAGTGGACCTCCAGCAAACTCCAACAGACCTGCAGCTGAGGGTCCTCTCTGTTAGAAGGAAAACTAACAAACAGAAAGGACATCCACACCAAAACTCCATCTGTACTTCACCATCATCAAAGACCAAAGGTAGATAAAACCATGAAGATGGGGAAAAAACAGAGCAGAAAAACTGGAAACTCTGAAAATCAGAGCACCTCTCCTCCTCCAAAGGAACACAGCTCCTCACCAGCAATGGAACAAAGCTGGATGGAGAATGACTTTGACGAGTTGAGAGAAGAAGGCTTCAGAAGATCAAACTACTCTGAGCTAAAGGAAGAAGTTCAAACCCATGGCAAAGAAGTTAAAAACCTTGAAAAAAAATTAGACAAATGGCTAACTAGAATAACCAATGCAGAGAAGTCCTTAAAGGACCTGATGGATTTGAAAACCACAGAACGAGAACTATGTGATGAATGCACAAGCCTCAGTAGCCGACTCAACCAACTGGAAGAAAGGGTATCAGTGATGGAAGATCAAAAGAATGAAATGAAGCGAGAAGAGAAGTTTAGAGAAAAAAGAATACAAAGAAATGAACACAGCCTCCAAGAAATATGGGACTATGTGAAAAGAACAAATCTACATCTGATTGGTGTACCTGAAAGTGATGGGGAGAGTGGAACCAAGTTGGAAAACACTCTGCAGGATATTATCCAGGAGAACTTCCCCAATCTAGCAAGGCAGGCCAACATTCAAATTCAGGAAATACAGAGAACACCACAAAATACTCCTCGAGAAGAGCAACTCCAAGACACATAATTGTCAGATTCACCAAAGTTGAAATGAAGGAAAAAATGTTAAGGGCAGCCAGAGAGAAAGGTTGGGTTACCCACAAAGGGAAGCCCATCAGACTAACAGCTGATCTCTCGGCAGAAACTCTACAAGCCAGAAGAGAGTGGGGGCCAATATTCAATATTCTTAGAGAAAAGAATTTTCAACCCAGAATTTCATATCCAGCCAAACTAAGCTTCATAAGTGAAGGAGAAATAAAATACTTTACAGACAAGCAAATGCTGAGAGATTTTGTCACCACCAGGCCTGCCCTAAAAGAGCTCCTGAAGGAAGCACTAAACATGGAAAGGAACAACCAGTACCAGCCACTGCAAAATCATGCCAAAATGTAAAGACCATCAAGGCTGCGAAGAAACTGCATCAACTAACGAGCAAAATAACCAGCTAACATCATAATGACAGGATCAAATTCACACATAACAATATTAACCTTAAATGTAAATGGACTAAATGCTCCAATTAAAAGACACAGCCTGGCAAATTGGATAAAGAGTCAAGACCCATCAGTGTGCTGTATTCAGGAAACCCATCTCATGTGCAGAGACACACATAGGCTCAAAATAAAGGGATGGAGGAAGATCTACCAAGCAAATGGAAAACAAAAAAAGGCAGGGGTTGCAATCCTAGTCTCTGATAAAACAGACTTTAAACCAACAGAGATCAAAAGAAGGCCATTACATAATGGTAAAGGGATCAATTCAACAAGAAGAGCTAACTATCCTAAATATATACGCACCCAATACAGGAGCACCCAGATTCATAAAGCAAGTCCTTAGAGACCTACAAAGAGACTTAGACTCCCACACAATAATAATGGGAGACTTTAACACCCCACTGTCAACATTAGACAGATCAACAAGACGGAAAGTTAACAAGGATATCCAGGAACTGAACTCAGCTCTGCACCAAGTGGACCTAATAGACATCTACAGAGCTCTCCCAACCAAATAAACAGAATATACATTCTTTTCAGCACCACATCACACCTATTCCAAAATTGACCACATAGTTGGAAGTAAAGCACCCCTCAGCAAATGTAAAAGAACAGAAATTTTAACAAACTGTCTCTCAGACCACAGTGCAATCAAACTAGAACTCAGGTTTAAGAAACTCACTCAAAACCGCTCAACTACATGGAAACTGAACAACCTGCTCCTGAATGACTACTGGGTACATAACAAAATGAAGACAGAAATAAAGATGTTCTTTGAAACCAACGAGAACAAAGACACAACATATCAGAATATCTGGGACACATTTAAAGCAGTGTGTAGAGGGAAATTTATAGCACTAAATGCCCACAAGAGAAAGCAGGAAAGATCTAAAATTCACACCCTAACATCACAATTAAAAGAATTAGAGAAGCAAGAGCAAACACATTCAAAAGCTAGCAGAAGGCAAGAAATAACTAAGATCAGAGCAGAACTGAAGGAAATGGAGACACAAAAAAACCTTCAAAAAACCAATGAATCCAGGAGCTGGTTTTTTGAAAAGATCAACAAAATTGATAGACTGCTAGCAAGACTAATAAACAGAAAAGAGAGAAGAATGAAATAGACGCAATAAAAAATGATAAAGGGGATATCACCACTGATCCCACAGAATACAAACTACCATCAGAGAATACTATAAACACCTCTATGCAAATAAACTAGAAAATCTAGAAGAAATGGATAAATTCCTTGACACGTACACCCTCCCAAGACTAAACCAGGAGGAAGTTAAATCTCTGAATAGACCAATAACAGGCTCTGAAATTGAGGCAATAATTAATAGCTTACCACCCAAAAAAAGTCCAGGACCAGATGGATTCACAGCTGAATTCTACCAGAGGTACAAGGAGGAGCTGGTACCATTCCTTCTGAAACTATTCCAATCAATAGAAAAAGAGGGAATCCTCCCTAACTCATTTTATGAAGCCAGCATCATCCTGATACCAAAGCCTGGCAGAGACACAACAAAAAAAGAGAATTTTAGACCAATATCCCTGATGAACATCAATGCAAATATCCTCAATAAAATACTGGCAAACCAAATCCAGCAGCACATCAAAAAGCTTATCCACCATGATAAAATGGGCTTCATCCCTGAGATGCAAGGCTGGTTCAACATACGCAAATCAGTAAACGTAATCCAGCATATAAACACAACCAACGACAAAAACCACATGATTATCTCAATAGATGCAGAAAAGGCCTTTGACAAAATTCAACAACCCTTCATGCTAAAAACTCTCAATAAATTAGGTATTGATGGGATGTATCTCAAAATATTAAGAGCTACCTATGACAAACCCACAGCCAATATCATACTGAATGGGCAAAAACTGGAAGCATTCCCTTTGAAAACTGGCACAAGACAGGGATGCCCTCTCTCACCACTCCTATTCAACATAGTGTTGGATGTTCTGGCCGGGGTAATCAGGCAGGAGAAGGAAATAAAGGGTATTCAATTAGGAAAAGAGGAAGTCAAATTGTCCCTGTTTGCAGATGACATGATTGTATATCTAGAAAACCCCATCGTCTCAGCCCAAAATCTCCTTAAGCTGATAAGCAACTTCAACAAAGTCCCAGGATACAAAATCAATGTACAAAAATCACAAGCATTCTTATACACCAATAACAGACAAACAGAGAGCCAAATCATGAGTGAACTCCCATTCACAATTGCTTCAAAGAGAATAAAATACCTAGGAATCCAACTTACAAGGGACGTGAAGGACCTCTTCAAGGAGAACTACAAACCACTGCTCAATACAATAAAAGAGGATACAAACAAATGGAAGAACATTCCATGCTCATGGGTAGGAAGAATCAATATCGTGAAAATGGCCATACTGCCCAAAGTAATTTATAGATTCAATGCCAACCCCATCAAGCTACCAATGACTTTCTTCACAGAATTGGAAAAAACTACTTTAAAGTTCATATGCAACCAAAAAAGAGCCCACATTGCCAAGTCAATCCTAAGCCAAAAGAACACAGCTGGAGGCATCACACTACCTGACTCCAAACTATCCTACAAGGCTACAGTAACCAAAACAGCATGGTACTGGTTCCAAAACAGAGATATAGACCAATGGAACAGAACAGAGCCCTCAGAAATAATGCCACATATCTACAACTATCTGATCTTTGACAAACCTGACAAAAACAAGCAATGGGGAAAGGATCCCCTATTTAATAAATGGTGCTGGGAACACTGGCTAGCCTTATGGAGAAAGCTGAAACTGGATCTCTTCCTTACACCTTATACAAAAATTAATTCACGATGGGTTAAAAACTTAAATATGAGACCTAAAACCATAAAAACCCTAGAAGAAAACCTAGGCATTACCATTCAGGACATAGGCATGGGCAAGGACTTCATGTCTAAAACACCAAAAGCAATGGCAACAAAAGCCAAAATTGACAAATGGGATCTAATTAAACTCAGGAGCTTCCACACAGCAAAAGAAACTACCATCAGAGTGAACAGGCAACCTACAGAATGGGAGAAAATTTTTGCAATCTACTCATCTGACAAAGGGCTAATACCCAGAATCTACAATGAACTCAAACAAATTTACAAGAAAAAAACAAACAGCCCCATCAAAAAGTGGGCGAAGGATATGAACAGACACTTGTGAAAAGAAGCCATTTATGCAGCCAAAAGACACATGAAAAAATGCTCATCATCACTGGCCATCAGAGAAATGCAAATCAAAACCACAATGAGATACCATCTCACACCAGTTAGAATGGCAATCATTAAAAAGTCAGGAAGCAACAGGTGCTGGAGAGGATGTGGAGAAATAGGAACACTTTTACACTGTTGGTGGGACTGTAAACTAGTTCAACCATCGTGGAAGTCAGTGTGGCGATTCCTCAGGGATCTAGAACTAGAAATACCATTTGACCCAGCTATCCCATTACTGGGTATATACCCAAAGGATTATAAATCATGCTACTATACAGACACATGCACACATATGTTTATTGCGGCACTATTCACAATAGCAAAGACTTGGAACCAACCCAAATGTCTAACAATGATAGACTGGATTAAGAAAATGTGGCACATATACACCATGGAATACTATGCAGCCATAAAAAATGAAGAGTTCATGTCCTTTGTAGGGACATGGATGAAGCTGGAAACCATCATTCTCAGCAAACTATCGCAAGGACAAAAAACCAAACACCACATGTTCTCACTCATAGGTGGAAATTGAACAATGAGAACACTTGGACACAAGAAAGGGAACATCACACACAGGGTCCTGTTGTGGGGTGGGGGAGGTGGGAGGGATAGCATTAGGAGATATACCTAATGTTAAATGATGAGTTAATGGGTGCAGCACACCAACATGGCACATGTATACACATGTAACTAACCTGCACGTTGTGCACATGTACCCTAAAACTTAAAGTAAAATAAATAAATAAATAAATAAATAAATAAATAAATAAATAAATAAATAAAATAAATAAAAATGGTCTTTCCGCATATATTTCTCATAAAATGAGATAGCTACTCTGGATGATCATTTGGCAGTTTCTCAAAAGCTAAGCATGCACTTGCCATACAACCCAGCAATTGCATTCTTGGGCATTTACCCCAGAGAAATAAAAACTGATGCCCACACACAAAAAAAACTGTAAGTAATTGTTCATAGCAGCTTTATTCGTAACACTTAAAAACTGAAAACAACAAAAATGCCCCTCAATAGATGAATGTTAACACAAATATTGGTACAACCATACTATGGAAAACTACTCAAAATAAAAAGATACAAACTATTGACTGATACATGCAATGACTTCAATGGATCAAGAGGATATTGTGCTCAGTGGAAAGCTCCGTCTTAGAAGGTCATATGCTGTATGACTCCATTCATATAACATTCTCTGTATGACAAAATTGTAGGGATGAAAAATAGTGGTTTCCAGGTGTTAGGGATACTGGTGGATAGTGGGGTGAGTTTCACTATAAAGGCACAGGGGACACCTGTGTGGGATGGAATTTGACTTTGATGTTGGTTATACAAATCCTCACATGTAATAAAATGACATGGAGCTACATAATACATTTGTACCAACGCCATGTTTCTGGTTTTGATATTATACTATAATCATGTAAGATAGAACCATTGGGAGAAATAAGTGAAGGGTACATAAGACCCATCTGTACTATTTTTGAAACTTTCTGTGAATCTATACTTATTTTAATTTTTTTTTTAATTTAAGATTTTTAAACCCTACTGAGGGTCTCTGGACCTTAGAAAAAAATTATCTTCCGCTTTTTCTGATCAGAGGAACTTATACAAACAGAATTGATGTTAATAAAACATATTTATACTTTACAGAATGGTACGGAATTTTCAGTGGAGTCTAGAATTGCATAGATTTTAATCAGAAATCATGTCTAAAATATTGTTCTATGGCTTCTGAGAAAGTTGAAGTTTGACCTTATTCAGGACCACTCAGGGGCCAACTTGGCTTTTGTCTGGTAGTCTGAGCAATTGCCTCTTCTCTTCCTTCTTCCGAGTTGAAAGAAATCCGCAAAGTGTCCACTCCTGATCATTAAAGTTCAGACTAGTTCATACGGGCTCACAAGAACAATGTAGCTGTCTACAATGTTAGCTGCTAGTTGTTTCTTTAATTTCTGTATTGCAGAATGCTCCTTGGTGTTTACTTCTCAATTCAAGAAAGTGTACCCAATGTCATATATATGGCCCTTGGCTTTTGGCCCTCTAATATTTGATTGGATTTAAAAGGTATTTGATCACACAGGTTTTCCACTTGCTTGTTCATGATGACCAACTCAACTGCCATTGTCTCCGTCAAGATTTCTCTGATGTCCCTCCCCAACCCCATGCCCATTGTTTTTCTTTTCTATGCCCACGTGTGACTTATACTTACAACCTATAGGTGTCACAGATTCTAGTGATATGTCAGTGCTTCCACTGAATTTTAAGATTTTGCTGGCAAAATCTTAAAGTATCTACTATTATTCTTATCATAAAATAAGCAGTAAAGAAACATTGGTTGAATTTAATTTACACAATTATTTAATAAATTTATTGCTGAAAACTCAGGCCCTAGAATTTAAGGGTTCTCAATAAGTAAAGTTATGAAAGAAAATAAACCTTGCATTTCTAAGCTGCAAGTAGGCAAACTGTAAGATTCAGTGATTTCATTACAAAACTGTAAAGCAGGCATCTCCCATATTCTTAGGGAAAATTGTTGCTTGGACAAAATTTTATTCTGAATGCAAATGCTCTAGACTAAAATCAGTGCATGCTAAGCCTTTAGCACAGTGCCAGGCACAGAGTTAGCACTCAATAAATGTTACCTACTACCTATTTCATCAGTTTTTAAGATGTACCTGTTTTGTTCACATTTTAACTTATAGAATCAGGATGCATCCTGTAATCCATGGTATCTTACAATATCTTTCAGCCAGAGGCAGTGCTGATGTAATTGTTTAAATGCCTTTCCTTGACACCATTTACTAAGATCAAGCAAGCACCAACAGCCAAGTGTCCTTGGCTTAGTGAAATATGCATATTAAAATTCTGCCTGGTTACATCCTGGAATAGTGCCTATCACAGAGTAGATGTGAATATGTGTTGAATAATAACTAATATGATAACCTTTGGTTACAATTTACAATTTAAAATACCTTGTAAATTGGAAATGTGTCTGAAAGACAAGAGCTCCCTTCCTCGGGTAATGTCTATAAATGTCAGCAGAATGTCACCCTTGTTCTGTCTTATATTCTGACATTGGCATTACCAATTATTGCAGGAAAGGTGCAAATTAGAAAGGCAGATGGTATTTTGCAAATATATGCATTGAAGGGGCAAATACCTAACTGCCAACGTGGACTAGTTTCTGTTGCCGTTTCTTCTCCACAGAGTTGATCTTGAGCTATTTCCTGCTTTCTTGGTAGAAGATGCATTCCCTATGTTACTCATTTCCAAAAGCAGCATGAGTTACTTAGTCTTAAAAAAGCAATGTGAATTTCTTGTGATAATAAAATATACATGGCTCAAGTGCAATTTTTTAAAAATCATGTAGTATAGCCATTATAAAAAAACATTATCAGGCTCCCTCAAAAAAGTAAAAATGGAAGTACCATACGATCCAGCAATTCCACTACTGGGTATATATCCAAAGGAAATGAAATCAGTATGTTACAGAGGTATCTGCACCCTCATGTTCACTGCAACTTTATTCACAATAGCCAAGATATAAAACCAACATAAGTGTCCATCAATGAATGAGTAGATGAAGGAAATGTGATACATAGACACAATGAAATACTATTTAGCCTTTTAAAGGAAAGAAATCTTGTCATTTGCAACCACATGGATGAACCTGGAGGATATGATGTTACATAAAATAAGCCAGGAACAGAAAGATAAATACTGCATGGTCTCACTTATGCGTGGAATCTAAGAAAGTCAAACTCGTAGAAGCAGAGAGTAGAATGATGGTTATCAGGGGTTGGGGGGTTGAAGGAGTAGGAGGTTGGAGAGACATTGGTCAAAAGATAACAAAATTTCAGTTAGGGGAAATAAGTTCAAGAGACCTATTGAAAAACATGGTGACTACAGTTAATAACAATGTACTGTATTCTTGATAATTGCTGAAAGTAGATTTTAAGTGTTCTCACCACAAAAATTGATAATTATATAAGGTAATGTATATGTTAATTAGCTCCATTTATCCATTCCACAATGTATGCATATTTCAAAACATCATGTTGTACCATAAATATATACAAATTTTCTTTATCAATTTTTAAAATTGATTTTTTTAAAGAATCATTGGAGGAAAGACAGTATCAGAGGTCTTTTTCTCTTAAATCTGATAGGGTGTATTTCCCAGTTTCCTCCCTTGACTTTGAGACTTTATAGAAAAGATACAATGATAATTTTCTGTTTTAATTTCCAGGATACAAGAGAATTTAGGAAGAAATATACAAATAAAAACACAGAGAAAAAGACGTCCTCTGAAATTCATCTCTTCTCTTTTACTGTCATTAACCACTTCCCATAAATCAGGCATTTTACCTCCTTCTCACCCAACAAGTCGAACCAGCCACTAAGTCCTGGACATTCTGCCTGCAGGATAGTCACTGTCCTTCTGCCCATCTCCACGTCTACTGCCAGTTCAAGTTCAGGCTCTTCCTATCCAGCCCAGGTTATAATAGCCTCTAGTTATATAATTTTCTCTAGTCCAGTCTTTGCTGTTTTGAGGTGTCCTACACTGATGGAAACGGATTATCAATTTCACATTCAAAAATTTTCAGAAGCTTTTTCTTGCCACTTTGATGGCTAATAGACATCCAAACTCAGTATGTCCAAAACTATGGCCCTGGCCTTTCCTTCCAAACTCTTACTTTCCATAACCTTTCTATTGCAGTTGATGGTAGACATCTCAAAATCAATGTGTTCAACTTGCAAGACCCAATTTATTTATTTATTTATTTATTTATTTATTTATTTATTTATTGATTTGAGACAGAGTCTCATTCTGTTGCCCAGGCTGGAATGCAATGGCGCGATCTCGGCTCACTGCAACCTCTGTCTCCTGGATTCAAGCAATTCTCCTGCCTCAGCCTCCCAGGTAGCTGGGATTACAGGCGTGCGCCACCAGGCCCGGCTAATTTTTTGTATTTTTAGTAGAAATGGGGTTTCACCATGTTGGTCAGGCTGGTCTCAAACTCCTGACCTCGTGATCCGCCTGCCTTGGCCTCCCAAAGTGCTGGGATTACAGGCGTGAGCCACCGCGCCCAGCCCACAACACCCAATTTGTGTTTCAAAACTCACTCCTCCCACAGTCTTCCCCGTCATTCCAGTTAATTGGGGGCAAAAGATTTCAAATCTTTCTTGACACCTCTCTTATCCCCACATCTAATATCCAATCCATCAGAAAAAAAAAAAAATCTGTCAACTCTAATGTCAAAATAAATAGCCAGAATCCAGCTACTTCCTGATACCTCCATTGTTATTTCCATTAATACCTGGTTTGAGCCACTCTGGGCTTTTGTCTGGACTGCTGTAATAGCCCCTTCTCTAGCTTCCCAACTTCTATGTTTGACCCTCTAAAGTCTACTATTCTTATCACAGGACTGCATGATCTTTTAAAAACATAAACCAGGCCAGACACGGTGGCTCATGCCTGTAATCCCAGCACTTTGGGAGGCCGAGGCAGGTGGATCACCTGAATTCAGGAGTTCAAAACCAGCCTGGCCAAACTGGTGAAACCCCATCTCTACTAAAAATATAAAAATTACCTTGGCATGGTGGCGGATGCCTGTAATCCCAGCTACTCGGGAGGCCGAGGCAGGAGAATCACTTGAACCCGAGAGGCGGATGTTGTAGTCAACCGAGATCATGTCATTGCACTCCAGCCTAGGCAACAGAGTGAGACTCCATCTCAAAAAAAAAAGAAGAAAAAAGCCATAAATCAGATTTTATTACTCCTTTGTTCAAGACTTGACAATGGCACTCGATTTCTTAGAATAGTTTGCAAAGCCTCCAGGATCTGCCCGCTATTTCACCTCTCTGACCTCATCTTCTCCTGCTCCCCTTCTCATTCACTCCACTGCAGCCACATTGACCATCTTGTTGAGTTCTCTAAACAAACCAAACATGCTCCCAAACTGAGGTCTTTGTAAAGTCTAGTCCCTCTGCAGGAACTCCTCTTTCCCTGGATATTTACCTAGCTAACTCCCTTACATCCTTTATATTTTTGTTGAAATGTCATCTCCTCAATGAATAAAATACCTTATACAAAATCAAACCCTCCCCACTGCCCAGGATGCCTGAGCCCCCTTACCATGCCCTGCCTTTATTTTTCCAAAGTGTCACTTACCCCCTTCTAACACACTGTACTATTTTCTTATTTATTATTTTTATTGTCTTTCTCTCCCTGATGCAATAGAAGCTCCACAAATACAGGGATCTTTGTCTTTTTTGTTCATGGATGTACACCAAGCAACCATAACTGTGCTGGATACATGTGAGCACTCAATTATTTTTTAGTGAACTGAATTAATTAAATGCCAAACAAGAATAAGCTTTCCAGGCATGGTAGGAAAACACCCACACAATAACTTCTAACACATTTTCCCATTTTAATCTACTTCAGTACTTTAATTTTTCTATGCTTCAAGCTGGTGTGCAGTGGCAGGATCTTGGCTCACTGCAACCTCCGCTTCCTGAGTTCAAGCTATTCTCGTGCCTCAGCCTCCTGAGTAGCTGGGATTACAGGCGCGCACTACTACGTCCGGCTAATTTTTCTATTTTTAGTAAAGACGGGGTTTCACCATGTTGGCCAGGCTGGTCTCGAACTCCTGACCTCAAGTGATCCACCCGCTTAAGCCTCCCAAAGTGCTGGGATTACAGGCATAAGCCACTGCGTTAGTTCTTTTTTATGAAAATAAAATACTAGGATAAAATATTCCTTCATTTAAAAGTTTTAACTCTGGGTCACCTGTCCAAGTTCCGATGCTAAAAAAGGAGACTGATGCCGCTGCCTTTCAGTGGTTTCCAAGGTGGTTGCTTGCACAATGGCTAAGTCAAGATGGAATAGCGCCATCTGCTGTCAGCCCTCTGATCTCAATGGAATTACTGATTTGGGCTGTTAGCTTCTTGAACTTTGTTATAATTCCCATGTTATCACACAAAAATTTTTTCTTTTTTTTTTTTTTTTGAGACAGAGTCTCGCTCTGTCACCCAGGCTGGAGTGCAGTGGCGCGATCTCGGCTCACTGCAACCTCCGCCTCCCAGGTTCAAGCGATTCTCCTGCCTCAGCCTCCAGACTAGCTGGGACTACAGGCACCTGCCACCAGGCCTGGCTAATTTTTTGTATTTTTAGTAGAGACGGGGTTTCACCGTGTTAGGCAGGATGGTCTCGATCTCCTGACCTCGTGATCTGCCTACCTCGGCCTTCCAAAGTGCTGGGATTACAGGTGTGAGCCACCGCACCCGGCCCTACTTTTTTCTTTTTGAGTCAGTGTCTCACTCTGTCGCCGAGACTGGAGTGCAGCAGCGTGATCATGGTTCATGGCAGCCTCGATCTCCTGCCGATCCTCCCACCTCAGCCTACCAAGTAGCTGAGACCACAGGGACACCATCACCATACTTGGCAATTTTTATTTTTTTGTAGAAATGAGGTCTTGCCATGTTGCCCAGGTTGGTCTTGAACACCTAACCTCAAACAGTTCTCCTGCCTGGGCCTCCGTAAGTGCTGGGATTACAGGCATGAGTCACTGAGCCTAGCTGCACACAAAATTTTTTAATCTGGCAATCTCAATTTTGTCTTTCTGTCTTTCCTCCTCCTCCTCCTCCTCCTTCTCTTCATCTTCTTCTTCTTCCTCTTCCTCTTCTTCTCTTTTTTCTTTCTTCTTCTTCTCCTTATCCTTCTTGCAAATTACATTACTACACTCACCTTTACAGTGATTTCAAGATTTCAACTGCTTTAGAGAAGTGAAATGACACAGTTAAGCAGTGGAAATACTTGGGCATGAATTACAATTCTCTGGCCTGGAATGCACCTCCTAGCAGGTTCACGTTAGTCAGTGGAGTGTTTCAAGATAATTCAAGTTATGAATGACTAAACGAGACGGACATTAGATCAAAGGGCCCCCAATGTTGCCAAGCACAAATGGTTTATTTTTCTTGAAAATGTCCTTGTGAATTTAGACAAAATTTTGTCTCCTTGAGCATACTATCCTTCAGGTGAACTAAATACCTTACCTCCATTTATTTATTTATTTAGAGACAGGGTCTGGCTCAGGTTGGAGTGCAGTGGCGTTACCTTGGCTCACTGCATGCAACCTCTGACTCCTGAGTTTACATGATCCTCCCACCTCAGCCTCCCAAGTAGCCGGGACTACAGGTATGCACCACCACACCTGCCTAGTCTTTGTATTTTTTGTAGAGATGGGGTTTTGCCATGTTGCCCAACCTGCTCTGGAACCCCAGCGCTCAAGTGATCTGCCTGTCTCAGTGTCCCCAAACACTGGGATTACAGGCATGAGCCACCTCACCTGACTGTATTTATTCTATACAAAGTAAGTTTGTAATTACTACCCAAAAAATTGTCTAACTGATATTATATAACTTAAATATAGAGTTTTATAATAATATAATAATATAATAACTTTTATAACTTAAATAAAAAAGAAAATAATTCATCCAGGGAAATGCAGTAAATTTCAGATCTCATCTCTGGAAACTTAAGGAAAGAGTTAAGGTAGTAATCCCAGTTTTTCTAGCATATTAGTCATTTGACATAATGTTTAACGGTCCTGAATAAAGATAATAGAACATTTCCTGCAGTAAAAATGTGCTTATGTCCTGATTTTTAGAAAGGTAGATGTCCTTTTTTTCCCCATAAGTGATTGCTATGTTCATTGCTTATCATAGAGTCTATTCAATAAAGGCAACATTAGTCTATCTGACTCTAAATGTCATTGGTTCATCCAACAAACATTTATTGGGGGACTACTCTGTGCCACACTCTGTTGTAGATGATGGTGATTTAACAGAATCCAAATCTGACAAATTCCCTGTCTTCAAGGAGCTCATGTTCCAGTTGTTGGTTGTTCATTCATTCCTTTTTTTTTTTTCAGCTAGGTTGGGAAGACTGACAATCCCTGCCCTCTTGTCAACTGGGGGAAAACAAACAGTAAGCATGATAATTTAAACATATAGTGTGTTGGCCGTGAGTGGTGGCTCACGCCTGTAATCCCAGCACTTTGGGAGGCCAAGGCAGGCAAATCACTTGAGGTCAGGAGTTAGAGACCAGCCTGGCCAACATGGTGAAACCCCATCTCTACTAAAAATACAAAAATTAGCTAGGTGTGATGGTAGGCACCTGTAATCCCAGCTGCTCGGGAGGCTGAGGCAGGAGAATCGTCTGAACCTGGCAGGTGGAGGTTGCAGTGAGCTGAGATTGTACCACTGCACTCCAGCCTGGGCAACAGAGTGAGAATCCATTTCCAAAAATAAAATAAAATAATTAGTTAAAACTATAGCATGTTGCATGGTGTTATGGGTTGAATTGTGTCCTCTCCAAATACCTATGTAGAAGTCTTATCCCTTAGAGCCTAAGAGAGTGACCTTATTCGGAAATAGGGTCATTGCAGGTTTCATTAGTTAAGGTAAGATGAGATCATATGGAGTAGGGTGGACTCCTAATCCAATATGACTAGTATCCTTATAAAAAGGGGAACTATGCACAGTGATACACGCACATAGGGAGATGCCATGTGAATATGAGGGCAGAGATCAGGGTGACGGGCCTACAAACCGGGAACACCAACATTGCCAACAAAGCCAGAAGCTAGAAGAGAGGCATGGACAGATTCTCTCTTAAACCTTCAGAAGGAACCAACCCTGCTAACGCTTTGATCTCATGCTGGTAGTCTGCAGAACTATGAGATGATATATTTCTGTTGTTCTAAGCCACCTCGTTTTTAGTACTTTGATACGGCAGTACTAGGAAACTAATACAATAGTGATGAGTTCTACACAGAAATAATTAAAGCAGGGAAAGAGGATATAGAGTGTGGCAGTTATGATTTAAAATGGAGTAAGCGACTGTCTTAATGGGGACAGAGTGTTTTCTTTTGGGGTGATAAAAAACATTTTAGAACTAGTTAGAAGTGATCGTTGTATAACATTGTCAATGTCCTACATACCACTAAGCTGTACACTTTAAAATAATTTTTTTTTTTTAAGACAGGGTCTGGCTCTGTCACCCATGCTGGAGTGCAGTGGTGCAATCTCAGCTCACTGCAACCTCCACCTCCTGGGCTCAGGTGATCCTCTCACCTCAGCCTCCCAAGTAGCTGGGACTACAGGCACACGCCACCAAAAATTAGCCACACCAGGCTAATTTTTGTATTTTTTTGTAAAGACAGGGTCTCAGTATGTTGCCCAGGCTGGTCTTGAACTCCTGAGATCAAGAAATTCACGCACCTCTGCCTCATAAAGTGCTAGGATTACAGGTGTGAGCCACCATGCCCAGCCTTAAAATAATTTTATGTTACATGAATTTTATCTCAATTTTTTAAAAAAATTGTGTCCAGGGAAGTCCTCTCTGGGAAGGTGAAATATTAGTAAAGACTTGAAGGTGTAAGCTCTATGAGGACAGAAGGTAATAATTCATATTCATATAGTAGGTACTCAGGAAATACGTGTTAAATGAGCAATAAATGAATGGAGAAGAGAAAGGACTCTATGCCTTTTAAAAGTGACTGACATTTTTAAAAATCTTTTTATTATGGGCACTATAAAGGATGGAACAATAAGGCCCTATGCATACATAACTTGTCTTCAACATTCATCAATATTTTGCCAATTTTTCTTATCTCTTTCCACACCAGTGTTTTTTGCTCCAGTGTTTTAAAGCGAATCCCAAACACCATACAATTTTACTTGTAAATACTTCATTGTGTTTCTTAAAAGATAAGCCTTTTGACTTACATATTTACAGAATCACTCTGGCAACTATGCTGGGAATTGATAGAAAAGGAGGAAAAGGTAAAGACTTAGGTAACTTCTGCCATCACACAGGTAAGAGACAAGGTGATAGCAATGAAAGGAGTGAGAAGCATTTGCTGGTGAATTGGATGTGGTAAAAGAGAGATGGATGCAAGGCTGATGCCAAGGTTTCTGAGCGGAGCAACTGGAAGAGTGGAATTGTCCTTAACCAAGATGAGAACCACTGTAGAGAAGCAGCTTTAGGTGGGCAGAAAATGAGGACAGGAGCTCAATAAGTTTCTCAAACAAAAATTTCTGGATCAAAAGGATGTTGGCACTAAATTTGAAGTGATTTCCACTTAGGATCCTTATTTGTTATGCAGTAGTGAGACTTCCCAACTGCATAGGAAGAGCTGATCTGTTTAGCCCAAAGGTACCAAAGCAATGCAGATTTCAGTGACTACATCATGGCCTGTTGAAAGCAGAAACAATAACTGGTCCTATATTTTATGTGACAGAGAGTGTTAATTATCTCCCAATACCTCTTCTCCACTTTTTCTATGGTGTTAAAGCAAACTAAATGTGGCCTGAAAAGGACTCCACACTTCTGTATTTGAATTCTTGTGGATAACCTGCAACCTAACTTAATAGGTAGACAAGCTTGAAAACCTAACTTGGGAGTATGAGCCTGTGACAACAGCTAAGTCTTGGCCAATCCCAGAGCCATACTTCAACTACTCATACACTGATAAGCGTTCAAACTGTGTTCAAATAAGGGAAGTGTGGAGCTGTAACCAATCCAGTTGTTTCTGTACCTCACTTCTGATTTCTGTAGGTCACTTCCCTTTTTTTTTGTCTACAGATTTGTTCTGGAGTCTCCCTGAATCTGCTGTGAATCTGAGGACTGCCCAATCTGTGAGTCTTTCATTGCTCAGTTAAACTCCTTTACACTTAATTGGGCTGAAGTTTTTCTTTAACAATGGTAATATGTTTTTGCTGGTACGTGACTCTCCAGGATAAAGACTAAATTTCTCCAACTGCCCCTGGAGCCAGGAGCAGTATTATGAGTAATTCTGTCTAGTGCATAGAAATGTCATGGGGCACCTTCCTCATGAGATGGCCCGTGAGCCCTTTGACCATTATTCTTTGTCACTTTGTCCCTGATGCCTGGTGTGTAGATGTCACATCTGGCTGGAGCTCTGGCACTCCAGCCACTGTCTTGAATGAAGAGAATGGGGCTATTCCTTGGGTATCCCTGAAAGACATTTAGGTTTCTGCAGAACAGACCTGACATACCATTCCTAATGGCAACGCCCTAAGCTTTTTTGGTGAGAGAGAAATAAACTTTTGTGTTGTTTATTTTTCTGTTTTGATAATAGCCACACTAATTCTAACTAATATAATCCAGAATTAGAGCTACAGATCATTTAATCTTACACTTTGTAGATAAATAAAGTGAGAATCAGAGAAAGCCAGTGATATAGGCAGTCACTTCTATTAGATCTGAAGCCAGCGCTCCACAATTCCTCCCCTTTTTGAATCACCTTCTAGCCTCAAAGAGGAAAGGTCCTATATATAGTGCCAGATGATCAGTAACTAATGTGAAGATTTTAAAAATAACTTGACAAAGAAAATTAATAATAATATCTACCATTTATTAAACACATTATATGTCCCAAGTTCTGTACTAAGAGTCTTACTGAAATTATTTCATTTAATCCTCACAACTTTATGAAGTATTATTAATATTCTCATTTTTCATTTAAGGAAACAAAAGTTTCAAGAAATTGATTGATTTTCCCATGTGTTCACAATTAGTGAATGGCTAAACCAGAACACATTAACCCAGGCTTGACTGGCACCAAACTCTATGGTCTTCACTACTATGTAAAAATAAATGAAAGCAGATGTTGGCTGGTTGCCACTTGTATAAGCCATCTGACTGGAGCCCTTTTCTTTGTAACCATTTCTTTGCTACTTGGGAGCAGGAAGCTCAGCTTCAGCATACTGTGCTCTCTATGAAATTATTTTCCTCCTGCTACACAGGGATTTTCCTTCTGTTTATATGTACTCTTAATCTACAATGTACATCATAGAAAGAAATGAAATTCTCTATTCACAAATACAGGCCCACCTATAGCATCTAATTAGAAATCTTGTTTGTTTGTTTGTTTTTGAGACAGAGTCTTGTGCTATTGTCCAGGCTGGAGTGCAGTGGTGCGATCTCGGCTCACTGCATCCTCCACCTCCTGGGTTCAAGGGATTCTCCTGCCTCAACCTCCTGAGCAGCTGGGACTAAAGGCACGCACCACCACATCAGGCTAATTTTTGTATTTTTAGTGGAGATGGGATTTCGCCATGTTGGCCAGGCTGGTCTCGGACTCCTGACCTTAGGTGATCCGCCCACCTCAGCCTCCCAGCCTCGAACTCCTGGGCTCAAGTGATCCTCCCACTTCAGCCTCCCTAGTACCTGGGACTACAGGTGCACACCACCGCACCAAGCTACTTTTTAAATATTTTGTCATGAGAGGGTCTCTTTTTGTTGCTTAAGCTGGTCTTGAACTCCTGGCCTCAAGCGATCCTCCTGCCTCAGCCTTCCAAAGTGCTGGCATTTTAGGCATGAACCACCGCACTCAGACAGGATTTTTTTTTTTTTTTTAGGAAAATGAAGTTTTCTGTCTTTTATAAAATTGTTGATAGCTCATAAATTCATCTGTGACATACAAGGTCTAAACCCACCACTCTCTCACCCCTCTTTTCCCCACAACACTAAGTTCTTTCATGTCTCCTTGCTTTGACTATACTCCTCTCCTGGCAAGAACGACCAGCTCCTACTCATCCTTCCAGACCTGCTTCAAATGGCTCCCCTTCTTCGAATCCCCTCCCTCCTGCTCACCAGGCAGGTAACTTGCTCTCCTCTGGGCCCACTATGCTTGGCTCAGCTCCCTCTTTCACCCGTTCCCTAATTGGATTTGACTTCTCAGCTTATACGACTATTTCCTCCACCAGATTCACAGCAATGTGACATCAGGGAACATGTCTTCTGCTGTTCTGAATTTTTAACACAGAACAGTATTAAGTTATGGGCACATAATAGGTAAATTTTTTTTATTGATACATAATAGTTGCACATATTTATGAGGTACATGTGATATTTTGTGGTAGATAAATACTTATTGAATGAAGAAATGAATAAAAAATCTAATAGAAATGGCATTTTATGGTATTATTCTCTGCATAAATTGATGACAAGGTTTAAAGTAAGTTATTTGGAGTAAACAGTTTTATTATTTTATAATATTGAATTCAAAATTAATTTACTATATAAGCAAGAAATTATCCAAAAACAATTCCTCTGTCAAAGCCTTTCTTTTCCATAACTAGTCTTGACATTTCGACTACATATTTTGAATTGTTTACAAGTCATGGTTGTGCCAGAAACACAACTTCTTCATTAGATTTTAAGGGGTTTGATGGTTATAAATGTCCTTTTTATGGTATTCAGACATCTCCCCCCCTTTAAATCCAAATGAAAATTTTACTGAGCTAATAAATCATCAGTTCTATTACTGCTGCAAATTATAACTCTGTTTAGTTTTACAAAAATGCCAGATGTTGTATGATTTTGGTCAAAACTAAAAGTGTAAACTGTCTAAGGTCACTAGCTGCCAATCGCCTCCTACAGATAAGCATGTTTAACTTAAAACATACTACATAAACATGAGTAAATATAATCCTTTCTCCTATTCAACTGAACAATTATTCATATAATTCCTTGCATATTTTCAGAATGCTAGTCTGCAAGTTAATCTTCTAGGAATAGAATCTCAGAAATTAAATAGAAAAGGCCTTGAAATTGGTAGTGTAGTAATATACTATTCAGAGCGATAATACTATTGAAATGATGAGCTATTATATAGTTCCTTATCTCTCACAATAAAATATGATTTTAAATGAAGTCTATTTTTTCCTCCCCAGTCTAGTTCTAAAATTTTTCTCCACCTGCCTCACTCCAGAATAGTATGTCAGTGTCTCTAGCATAAGGAGAGGAGACTAAATACAACAGGCCAACATCCAAAACACAGAATAGCTTGGAAAATGGAAAAAGATATTCTTTCTTTCATGAGCACATTTCCCTTACCTAAATATCTCTAAAGTTAAAGTAAAAAGTAAGCCTAAAGTTGAAGTAAAAAAGGGTTAAAATTAATTTGTAAGCCGAGGTGGATGGGTTGCTTGAACCCAGGAGTTTGAGACCAGCCTGGGCAACATTATGAAACACTGTCTGTAAAAAAAAATACAAATAATTAGCCAGGTGTGGTGATGTGCGCCTGTAGTCCCAGCTACCCAGGAGGCTGAAGTGGGAGAACCACCTGGACCTATGAGGTGGAGGCTACAGTGAGCTGTGATTACACCATTGCCCTCCAGCCTGGGCAACAGGTGAAACCTTGCCTAAAAAAAAAAAAAAATTTTTTTTTAAATTAATTGTGTATAATATTTAATATATCTAAAATGTTACCAATTTGGCATGTAATCAATAAAAAATAAAACATTACATGTTTAAATTGAAATCCAGGGTGTATTTTACACTTAAGGAACATCTCAATCCAAACTAGCTACATTTCAGTGCTTAACAGTTACGTGTGGCTAGTGGCTATCATACTGAATAGTGTGAAGTCTGAAATATACTCTCCTTTATTAGCCTTAAGAAAACTTTTTGAAAAACACCAACTTGGAACACGAAGAAAACAATGAACTGTTAACAAACATTGTAATTTGCCTACAATTATGTTACCTATTCAGGAGTTTTTCCAGTGGCAGGATCTATTGTTGACAAGATCTTCATAATGTACAGTTATTATATATTAAATCAAATAAAATTCACTTGTGTGCACCTAAAATCAGGAGCTCTAAGCCACTACAAAGAGTAATGAATGTATTCACCAGAAGTCAGAATCTAAGACTTTTTTTGCTATTCTTAACAATCCAGATTCCTTTACATCAATTTGGATAAAAGCATGGCATTGTCATAAATGGAAAAGGGTATGATATAACTTTGATATCATCAGTTCTCCAGTGAACATGGTAAAGTCCTCTAGCTGACAAAAGTATTTTTAGTCCAGAACCCAGAGTGAATAAAGATCACGGTCTAATTTATCATGCTCTGGATGGCCTCTACCCATTGCCAAAGGCATTCCATGTGCATGCCTTGACCACATGCAAATATCTCTAAAACACTTAACCCACAGCTGGAGAGATTGTAGTTCTACTGCCAAAGTCCTAATTGGAATAATTTCAATGTAAATGTTGGACCCATCTTATCCCCCCCATTTTGGCTAGCTGCACAAAGAAAGTCACACAGAGAGAAAATAAACTATTGAAATAATTCAGTTCAGTGTTGACAGAGCCTACTTTAAACGGCCAGCATAATTGTTCAAAATGTTCCCTGCATAAATCAGTTTAAATGACATTTTTAAAATGACCACGCTGCTCTGCCAATGGAATAGCCATTCTTTTATTCCTTAACTTTCTTAATAAACTTAAAAAAGAACAAAACTAAAAAAATTAAAAAATTAAATGACCAAAATAGTGCCTCGACTGCCAGCAATTTGACTGGAAATATATAGAAAGGTTTTCCTCCTCTCTTTTAGAAGCTGTACTTCCAGTGGAAGAAAATTATTTATACCATTTTATATTGTGTGAGAGAAGGTTAAATATAAATAATTTAAAATTTTAAATAATTATTTCACATTTTCTTTGATGTTTTTTGTTTTTTAATGAATCCTTTACCTTTATTAGAAAGAAAAAACAGTTCCATATAGTACACAAACTACATCATGAGTAAATCTTAATATTTATAATTCAAAAAAGAAATGAACACTTTTATAAATGTATTACTCAGTAATTAGGTTAAATATGAACATATAGTTAAAACTAATTTATAAAGAAACACTCATTATTTTACAAATGCTCAACGTGTACCCCTCGTGACACATGGCACACATCAATCCTGTATTTAATTAATCCCAGACCCTTTATAGCATATCATGGATAAGGTTTGGAATGGCAGCTCTGTACAATCTTTTATTTCCTCAAGGCAATAAGGAAAATCTACACTTTCGTGCATCTTACCTAATAGAATTAGTTAATTGTATTTGGCTATTTCTGCATGTGACTGTTTTAGATGTATTTGATATGTATTCATCTGTAGCCCTAAATCTATTACATATTTCTTATTTGCACACACCAAATCCTTTTGATCCGTATTCCTTCAGTGTAAGCTGCCTTTTTATAGCACCTAATGCTCAGAACCATCAAAGTAGCTTTCAAAAGTGATCACCTATCATAAAATAAGAGACAAATTTGATAAACCAAGAAATAGCAATCTAAACATATTATTTTAAGGATATGGAAGTCACCCTTAGGAGAACTCAAAATAGAAATGGCTAAAAGAAATTGCCCCCAGAAAGCAAAATTAGGTGTGAAAAGAGTGGGGCCTAGATTGGGTAATTTCATAAAACCTGCTTAGAAAGCACTCAGGACAAGTTAGACATCATTATTATCACCATCATTATTGTTAGTAACATTATTAACATTATAGGCTTGTCTATGTATTTGATATCATTTAAACCATAGATTAATTACTTTGGCTTTCTTTATTTAAAAAAAAGCAAAACAAAAAAGACTAGGCTGGGCACGGTGGCTCACGCCTGTAATCCCAGCACTTTGGGAGGCTGAGGCGAGCAGATCACGAGGTCAAGATATCAAGACCATTCTGACCAACATGGTGAAACCCCGTCTCTACTAAAAATACAAAAAATTAGCTGGGCATGGTGGCAGGCGCCTGTAATCCCACCTACCTGGGAGACTGAGGCAGGAGAATGGCTTGAACCGGGGAGGCGGAGGTTGCAGTGAGCTGAGATCATACCATTGCACTCCAGCCTGGGCAAAAAGAGCGAAACTGTCTCAAAAAAAAAGAAAAAAATACTTACTTGGAAAAACTAGGATTTAGAAGTGTAAAAAACTTTTCAGATTATTATTCCAGTTACCTCATTTCATAAATGAAAAAACTGAGGCATAGACCACCTCAACCTCTTGTTCCTCACTTCAAAACCTACACCAACATCGATATTTCCACCTGTAGTGAACATGAAAATGCGCCTCTTGGCTTCCTGACTTCAGGGAGCATAACTGGCTGATGGTCCCAACTGCTGTACTCCAAATCTACCACAGAGTTTGAGGTGTGGCCGTGATTCCCACTGGCAGCCCATGATGGAAGTGGCAGAGATAAGAAAGCAGGATTGCTCTGACTTTGACTGGAGGACTTCCCTTGTCAAAACTTTCTCAGACTGTACTGCTTCGAAGACACCTTCTACTCAACCTCTCTTTCCCCATCTCTCCTTCACAGGAGTCATACCCAAATCAAAGTTCTCCCAGTCTCCTCTCCCTTCCTTCCTATTTTCTCTAATAAGCATTTTCCCTAATGAATATCTTGCACATTTAATTGCACCCTGATGTCTGCTCCCCAAAGGAGCCAACGTAACACAACATCCATTCTGAGCTTCTTTCTCATCTGAAGGTTGTTTCCTTCCCTCCTCCTGCTCAAGGATAGTCCCTTCAACGATCCTCTTGACTTTACCTGTATTGTCTTCTCCAGGACCTCAATGCCCCTCCCATTCTTATTTCTAATACCTCCATCTTTCTTCTTGGTATTTAGGCTCTTTCAGCTGAACAACAACTATCAAAACATCTGCTCTGGGAACTGAATCCTTTTCAGTCTATTTGGTTAAGAAAGCAAATCCACTCCAAGAATGCCAGAAATAAAGGGTTTAATATAAGAATTAGGACTTACCTGAAGAGTAGAAGTGCCTCAAGAGCCACGTTCAGGGAACTCACCACCAAAGGTCAGGAAAGGTGAAACTAACACTCATGACCACAACCTGAAGCACTAAGGAAACAGGTTATCCACTTAAAGTTCGTGACAAAACGTGGAATTTTGAAGCTGAAAACGTTTCCATCAACGAATTCACTTCAAAATGTTACCAGTGGAGAGTGTCCAGGTTCTTGGTGTCTTGAACAAAGAACTGGACAAAACGCACAAAGCAAGAAAGGAGCAAAGAGATTTATTGAAAATGGAAGTACAGGCTGGACGCGGTGGCTCACGCCTGTAATCCCAGCACTTTGGGAGGCCAAGGCTGGCGGATCACAAGGTCAGGAGTTCAAGACCAGCCTGACCACCATGGTGAAACCCTGTACTCTACTAAAAAGTACAAAAATTAGCCCGGCATGGTAGCACACACCTGTAATCCCAGCTACTCAGGAGGTTGAGGCAGGAGAATCGCTTGAACCTGGGAGGCGGAGGTTGCAATGAGCCGAGATCACGCCATTGCATTCCAGCCTGGGTGACAGAGCAAGACTCTGTCTCAAAAAAAAAAAAAAAGAAAGAAAGTACACTCCACAGTGTGGGAGCGGGCCCAAGCATAGGGGCTCAAGGGCCCTGTTACAGAATTTTGGGGAGTTTTAATACCCTCTAGAGGATTCCATTGGTTACTTGGTATACACCCGATGTAATTTGAGAGGATGAAGTAAAGGTGCAAAGTCATTTACTCGGCATATACCCTATGAGGAAAATATTTCCTGTCATAGCTGAAGTGTGAATCGGCCTTATATTCCCTGCCTCCAGACCCTATTTTCCTGCCACAAAAGCAGTGAAAGTGGTTTTCAAATGCTCATCAAGAAGCCTCGGCAGATCTCATTCAAGTTTTGGCATCTGTGAAATCTAACTGTCCCAAAAATAAATAAATAACAAGTGTTGGCTGGGTGCAGTGGCTCATGCCTGTAATCCCAACATTTTGGGAGGCTGAGGTAGGAGGATCACTTGAGACCAGGAGTTGGAGAACAACTTGGGCAACATAGTGAGACTCCGTTCTACAAAAAATAAAATAAAAATAAATAACAAGTGTTGCCAAGGATGTAGAGAAGTTGGAATCTTCATAAACTACTAATAGAAGTATAAAATAGAAATGTAAAACTGCAGCCACTTTGAAAAAAGAGTCCAGCAGTTCTTCCAAAAGTTTATAGAGTTACAATTTGACCTTGCACTTCTAGATGTACACCCATGAGAATCCTTATGTATACCTAGGTATGTTCCCTTGAGAAATGAAAACATATGTCCATCCCAAATCTTGTACACCAATGCTTACAGTAACACTCTTCATAATAGTCAAAAGAGACACAACCCAAGGTGTCCATCAACTAATAAATGGATAAACAAAGTGTGATGTATATGTACAATAGAATATTTGTCTATAAAAAGTAATGAAGTACTGACACATATGCAACATGGATGAAACATTATGCTAAGTAAAGGAAACCAGTCACAAAAGACTACCTGGTATATGATTCCACTTCCATGAAATGTCCAAAATAGGCAGAAAGAAAGTAGATTCACAGTTTCTTAGGGCTGGAGGCAAGGAGGGGATTGGGAAGTGATAGCTAATGATGTGTACAGGCTTTCTCTTTTTTTTTTTTTCTTTTTTTTGAGATGCAGTTTCACTCTTGTCAACCAGGCTGGAGTGCAATGCCGCGATCTCAGCTCACTGCAACTTCCGCCTCCCGGGTTCAAGTGATTCTCCTGCCTCAGCCTCCTGAGTAGCTGGGATTATGGGTGCCTGCCACCACACCCAGCTGATTTTTGTATTTTTAGTAGAGACAGGATTTCACCATGTTGGCTAGGCTGGTCTCCAACTCCTGCTCTCAAGTGATCCACCCGCCTCGGCCTCCCAAAGTGCTGGGATTACAGGCGTGAGCCACCATGCCCTGCCCAGGCTTTCTTTTTGAGGCAGTGAAAATATTCTAGAATTAATTGTGGGGATGGTTGCACAACTCTGTAAATATACTGAAGACCTTTGAATTATACACTTTAAATTAGTCAATTGTATGGAATATGAATTATATCTCATAAAACTGCTTCCTCCAAAATCTATCCTATTTCTGCATAGTAGCAATAGCAACTAGAAAACAAAATTTTTAAAAAGATAATTGCCATATGCATCAGAAAACCTGAAACACATTGGAATAAATATAATGAAAAATGTGCCAGACTTCCAAACTCAAATGACAAAACATTTTGTGGTGTGTTAATTCAAGGATTACTATTCAGCAATATAAAAGACTGCTAAGACATGAAAGCAATGAAAACAAATCTCAAAACTTTATGTTGAGTAAAAAAAGCCAAAAACAAAGGAGGACAAACTGTATTCCATTAGTATGAAATTATAGCACAGGCCAAATCAATCTATGGTGATACAAATCAGAATGTGGCTTCCTTTTGTGGGGGGATTGGCTAGAAAAGGGCAGCAGATCACTCGGGGTGGGTACAATGGCAAGGTACTATAATTTCTTTGGGTCATGGTTATGCAGGTTTATACAAGTCTTGCAACTCACTGCATTCAACACTTAAAATGACTGCATTTTACTATATATAAACTATACCTCAAAAATAGTGTTTAAAGTAAAAAAGAAAAATGACTACTCTCCAGAGTCACTATATTGACTTCATTATCCTCTAATCAGTCTTAAAACATAGTTGGAATAATCTTATCCCAGGTTTTATTCCTCAGTCTATATAATGCTTCTTGCTAAAAATAATCTCCCTAGCTGATCTTATCCATACTCATAATTTTAACTAGCACCCATAGTGCAAATGACTTCTAATTCTTATTTACAATTCTGACCTCACCTCTAAGTTTTAGACTCATCCCCAACTTCCTGATGGACATCTCTACGTGCCTATTTAATACATTCAATTCAACAGGTCCAAAACTGAATAGATCATCTCAACCCACTCCCTCCACTGCCCTCCCACCTCCTTACCCTGGTGAGCACAGCTAGTCTTTCTGTCTTGTCTCAGTAAATGACAACTTCCTTTACCCAATAAGCTGGGGTCATTTAAAAAAATTCCCTCTTCTCTATTCATTGATGTTATAATTATAATATAATTAATTTCCTATTAATAAAATTAAAATAATTTTATCATAAAGGTCTGTAATTTTACCCCATAATTATTTCTAGTGTGCTCTTCCTCTTTTGTAAATCTACTACACTTCCCCCAATTCAGGCCCTTCTTTCTTTTTTTCTTTCTTTTTTTTTTTTTTTTTTTTTTTGAGACAGAGTCTTGCTCTTTCCCAGGCTGGAGTGCAGTGGCACAACCTCGGCTTACTGCAACCTCCGCTTCCTGGGATCAAGTGATTCTCTTGCCTCAGCCTCCTCCATAGCTGGGACTACAATGGAGCACCACTATGTCCAGCTAATTTTTTTTTTTTTTTTTTGGTACAGATGGGGTTTCACCATGTTGGCTAGGCTGGTCTTGAACTCCTGGCCTTAAGTAATCCACCCACCTTGGCCTCCCAAAGTGCTAGGATTACAGGTGTGAGCCACCACGCTCAGCCACAGGCCTTATTTCTCATCTGGACTATTGCATTAGCCACCAGACTCCAGTCCACTTTCCCGCATGTTTCCCCCAACTGAATACCTAAAACTAAACTCTGACCCTGCTACTTCTCTCTTTAAACCCTTGAGTAGCTCCCTATCATCTATAGAAAACAGTGTGAGCTCCTGAGCACAGCATGTGAGATCTTGTATTACCAGGCCTCTTCCTACCTCCCTAGACTCCTTGCCATTTCTTATGCTTGATTTTAAATGCCCATGATCTTTTTCTTCCCACCATCGAACCCACAGGATGAAATGAATGTTTCTCCCTATTAGGCATGTACTATATTGTGAGCCTAGGTCTATTACTTGCCTCAGTATATTTGTGAAAGAAAGAAATGGTAAAAATCCAGTAGGAACAATCTCACAGTTAGTTCATGGCAGGCATGAACACGTGGCACTCTAAAGCACTGAATAGCCTTTGACCTCAGGTTTAGATCGAATTCTTCATCCATATATTCTATGGATCAGACTGGTAGTTCCACAGTGGCTCCTCTCTGTTATCTAAGTCATCACTGCTCCCTGCCTGGCCTCAGGATCATCTACAAGGCCATCCTCTTTGGTCCATAAAAGAAAATATCCTCCTTGTTGTGTTCTCTTTCTCTCCGTCTTTCCTCCCCTCTCCTCTCCTCTCCTCCTCTCTTCTTCTTCCTCCTTCCTCTTTCTCGTTTTGTTTTTGTTTTTGTTTTTGTTTTTTTGACTACGGTTAGTTGGCAGGGTTTACAACCAGTCAGAAATTTGTGCCTCTAAGAAATCCAGAAGACTGGGTCTTTTCAGCTCCTCTTTTTCTCTCTTTACTCATAGCTCATTGTCCCTCATGACCAGGACTAAGTTTCACTGAATTATCTAAAAATGAAAGAAAAAGATTCAATACTCTATTTCTCTATACCTAATTCAGGAAAAAAAAAATGTGAGGAGAATGCAACCTTTGTTAATAACTTTATCAGGACCTCAAAAACTCTACGCAAAAAAAATAAGATTTCTCTCCACATGTCTATAGCAATTAGAAAACCTTATGTTGGTTGTTTCCTTATTTGGAGACAAATGACAAAATTGAAGAAGCATTAGGTGTCAATGACAAGCCTTTAAGAGAACCCAGGCCATCAGATTCTCTGGCAAGTGTCTAGCCATCCTATTTCTATTGAAACATTTTTATCACATATGCAAACTGTCCATTGAACACTTGGTTCATTGTTCATCTCTAAATATTTACCCAGAAATATAGGTATGTTTCCACTTTTCTTTCACCTTTCTACATCTATATGCAAAGAGCTACCCAGAGCTGTTAAAACCCCACACTGGCATAGCATGTGTATTGTGTTTACTATGAAGACCTCAAGAACCAATTGCATTGACAGCATAGGGGAATGCTGTGCTTGCATGCAAGAGCTATGACAGCAGCTCAAAGACTGAAGTTTCAAATACAATGTTTCCGCCAGGGGTGGTGGCTCATGCCTGTAATCCCAGCACTTTGGGAGGCCAAGGTGGGTGAATCACTTGAGGTCAGGAATTCAAAACCAGCCTGGCCAACATGGTGAAACCCCATCTCTACTAAAAATACAAAAATTAGCTGGGTGTGGTGGTGGATGCCCGTAATCCCAGCTACTCGGGAGGCTGAGGCAGGAGAATGCGTGAACCCAGAAGGCAGAGGTTGCAGTAAGCTGAAATCGTGCCACTGCACTCCGGCCTGGGTGACAGAGCGACACTCCTTCATAAGTAAATACATACATACATACATACATACATACATACATGCATGCATGCATGCATACATACATACATACATGCATACATACAATGTTTCGAGTTAACAGAAAGCTAAGTAAAATGTTTTAAAAAGTAAACAGTCAACCAAGAAGTATGCATCTAGAGACATAACTAAGCCAAAATCTCCCGGTTTATAGAATTCTTTTTGGATACAACCTGTACATTTACAGAAGCTGGGAATATTTGGAGGAACGTTGTTTGCAGCAACCTAAGACCTAGCTTGCTCAGGTATTTGCCGAATATGTGAATGACCTGGGGTCTTTTTTTTAAGCTTCTATCATCTCAGATATCTTACTTGATTTAAAAAAAAAACAGCCTTAATTATCTCCAAAGCCTATTAGGAAAATCAATAGCAATGGTGTGTGCAAATTACACATATGCATGCACACACACACATTTGCAAATACACATACACACATTAAAATTAAGATAAAATAGTTATTATTTCCCAAAAGCTAAACGACACCCTAAAAAAGTCAGACTTATTCTGTTTCATGTATCAGTGATTAAAGCAGTAGTATAATAATGTGTCCCTACTTTTTTTAATTAAAATACATTCTTTTTCTTCTTCAAAACTCAGCTCACAACTTTCTTTTACAAAAACAGCCATATTGTTAAAAGGGCATGGAGAAGTATTCAAAGGCGAAATGTAATTACATCTGCAACTTATTTTCTTTTTTATAATTCTTATTGATATATAACAGCTATACATGTTTGGGGGTACATGTGATATTTTCATACCTGTATACAATGTGTAATGATCAAATCCAGATCATTTGGATATTCATCACCTCAAACATTTATCTTTTCTTTGTGTTGGGAACGTTGCAATTCTTCTCTTTTAGTTATTTTGAAATATACATTATTGTTAACTATAATTTCCCTACTGTGTTATCAAATACTAGAACTTATTCCATCTAACTGTATCTTTGTACACCTTTTCAATTTATTTTCAAATTTGGCAAAATGTTGAAGTTTTGAATCTAAGGGAGGGATGCTCATTCAAAGAGTCGTAACTTGTCTCTGAGTTAAAACACTTCAAAATAAAAAGCTGGTGAGGGGAGGTAGAATATATTCTCTTTCTCTCTCACTTCAGTACTTCCTGAAAGCTGTTCTTTCTCCTGGAAGTCTTTCCCTTCACCCTCTTTGTCCAGAGTTTGTCATCGTGGTAAAGTTTAGAGTTATAGATGCTAATTATGCCATATGCAAGGGATTGTGAGATCTCTCTAGAAACGTATTTCATTTTTCTGAGCCTTGGTTTCCTCTTTTGTAAAATGAGAACCCTAACAGTATTGAGTTCAAAGGTACCTGGTTGGCAACATCTGACTCATAGATTTATTCATTTTGTAACTATGCAAAGTAGCTCAAGTAACCTTTTGGTCTTCATCTTTTTTACTTATAAGCGAGGAAAAATGACACCTCATATAATTGTTGGAAGATGAAAAGAGATGATGATTGTGAAAGTATTCTGCAAACCACAAAGTTCCATTATTGTTTTTCATTATTATTGTTGTTGTTAATTTCTTTTTCATAAGTGTCTAATCATACTAGCTGCATGTTATGAGTTCAGAAATTATAGATAGATTTATAAATTTAAAATTATTAGTAAGAAAACTTTTCTACAGTTAGATTATAACACCTCTCTGTGCCCTTCAGCAAGTGTGTACCATTTGTAAGGTATGAATTCGTTGCTCATAGAACTTTATTTCCCTAGTTATTAATAGCACTTGTTGGAAGGAAATCCAATATGGATCACTTTTGAGTCCCTTACCTCTCTCTTAATCTTGTATAAGACTCCTAGTATTTATACAACTTGGGAAAATTGAGGAAGATCTGGTGTGCGGTCCATATGGTCACTGCTGATGTCTGCGTCTACCTGTCCCAGATGAGAATGCCGGGTTCCCAGGCATCCACACAGTCAACACCATCAGACCAGTGCACCGGTCTCCCCACAGTACCCACCACTCCCTGCCCCTTCAAGCCTTCTAGTTTCTATAAATCCATGTATCTTCCCAAGGTGAGCCCACAACCCTCTTCCCAAAGTAACCCCACATCGCTCTCTTATTCTGGGCAAGCGAATGCTTCCTTTCTCTCTTTCTTCAAAACAATCTCAGTATATCTCAGTGGACATGACACATTCAGAACACAGAGAGCTGGCTTGACATCCAGAAACACAACAGGAGAAATAACTTTCATTCTGTTTTTCCATTCCTGCATGCCAACAATAAATAGTAACAAATTAATACAACAAACAAAACAAAGATAGTAACAAACCAATAACTTATCTGTGACAGTGCAAAAAATCTCATTGATTCTTGCTAGGTCATCAGGATAATCTCTCCTCTGATTCATTGATAAGTTTATGGTATGACTTAAA
Organism: Homo sapiens; assembly: GCF_000001405.40. Classification (NCBI taxonomy): domain Eukaryota; kingdom Metazoa; phylum Chordata; class Mammalia; order Primates; family Hominidae; genus Homo; species Homo sapiens. The sequence goes on along the minus strand of NC_000004.12, from coordinate 110,296,129 downwards.
ATAGACTTCTCCTACTGGAGTCTGCAGATATAGTTTCAGGTATCCGTGGTTCTCAGGCTTAAGAAATAGTAACTTAAGGAAAACAAATGATGCCGTAAGCAAACAGAAAACAGCAGAACACTGATAGAAAAACATCTTCCCTCTCCAGAATTTCTATTTCAGAAGTTCAAAAATTAATTTTACTTGGGTGGGGATTATTATATTTGCTATTTTTTAAAATTAGGAGCTAATTTATTTCTCTGGTTTATCAAATGAGTCAAATTTTAAAACATTAAATAAAGAAAAGATAACCAATAAGGAGGGCAACAATGACTTAAAAATAAAAATGAGACAGACAGAGGCAGCTCATTGGAGCAATACACATTTTCATAATGAATTACAAAAAGCAAATGATTTTAAGAAATGTGAAGGGAACATTTGCAGTGCTACAAAATAGAGCCCACGGAGGCATGTGCTGCCCTGCATTTCCAGCCTCTGAGCAGAAGGGAGACAAATCCCAAAGCATGCCCCATTATGTCCCTTCTGGCCACCCTTCTACTGAGAACACTCAGAGCTGATGGTTGAAAGTTTGTGGAGAAATCACTTTCCTTAAAAACAAAGCACAGGTTAAGTAACTTTCTCCCACACAATTTTCTACAAACACACAGCCACTGGGGACATAAAATTCTACACTGCTTGCAGCCACGGAAAGTCACCAGCCATTAAACGCAGGTGTTTCCTGCTTAAACTTCATGATCCAATCAGATCTTGGGGTTCCAGCAGAATATTGCCAATACCTGAAATGTGTCATTTCTAAACTTCATTCCTCTCTATACACTGACCTTTCCAACCTGGCTTGTATTCACGGAGGCACAGAATCATCCCACATGGAAATTGAAGAGATGTGCTGATTCTGGTGGAGCAAGGCTGTCACTCAGTGGAAGTATTTTTTTCTCCAGATTAAAAAGTATTTCTAAGTATTGGAAATTGTCTGTTTCCCTGAATCATTAGAAGCAACCCATAAGGACCCCCATAGTGAAACTATCAGTGGTAGTTTTCCCCTATAGTATTGAGTTGAAAAGAGAGAATTCAAGAATTCTTTCCAGCAATCAAATCTAAAACACCCCTATTGATGCCAAAAAGCCTGCTGTGTGCAAGTTTTAAAATAGCACTTGAAAGGAGGGGTCTTATTCTCACACAGCCACCTCCAACCCCCCAAAAAATGTGATTCTTGGGACACTGAAGCATTCAGGCACCAGACACACAAGAAAACCAGGAACTCTTAAGAGACTTTATTTATTTATTTATTTTTTTGAGATGGAGTTTTTCACTCTTGTCATCCAGGTTAGAGTACAATGGCGCGATCTTGGCTCACTGCAACCTCTGCCTCCCAGGTTCAAGTGATTCTCCTGCCTCAGCCTCCCAAGTAGCTGGGATTATAAGCGTTCGCCACCACGCCCAGCTAATTTTTGTAGTTTTTAGTAGAGACGGGGTTTCGCCATATTAGCCAGGCTGGTCTCGAACTCCTGACCTCAGGTGATCCGCCCGCCTCAGCCTCCTAAACTGGTGGGATTACAGGCATGAGCCACTGCGCCTGGCCTGACTTGTCTTTCAGGAACCAAGTCTACAAAGTGAATTTTGAGATAAAAAGACTAATTGCCTGCAACATGCCAAAAATACAACACATTCAAGGCCTTTTTTCCCCTGTGTTTTAAAAGTGCCTGCATTTTTTGCTCATTATTCACACGTTTAACCAAACATAAAACTGATCTCTCTTTTGCAGGAAGGACATTTGGGCTAAAGGATCTCTTTCAAATCTCCCAGAAGCATGGTCTCTGCTTCCATTAAAATGTAAACATCGCCGGGCGCGGTGACTCATGCCTGTAATCCCAGCAATTTGGGAGTCTGAGACAGGTGGATCACTTGAGGTCAGGAGTTCGAGACCAACCTGGCCAACATGGTGAAACCCCACCTCTACTAAAAATACAAAAATTAGCCAGGTGTGGTGGTACACACCTGTAATCCCAGCTACTCAGGAGGCTGAGGCATGAGAATCACTTCAACCTTGGAGGCGAAGCTTGCAGTGAGCCAAGAACACATCTCTGCACTCCAGCCTGGGCTACAGAGTGAGACCCCATTTCAAAAAAAAGTAAACATGAATTCATTCATCTAGAGATCTCCAAAATCCCTCAGATGATTCCACCCAGAATTTTCTTGGATTTATTCTAAACCCTCCCAGGAAGAACTTCAATCAGAAATCGCAAATGGTGTGCCTGTGCCATGTCCCAAGTGTCTGTGATCCAAAACCTCCTCCAGGTTCTGCTGTCCTTGGGGAGTTTCCCCTTGGCAACTCCCAAGCAGGAGTTGCCTGATGGACCAGAGGAGAAGAGGACCCATCAACCCAAAGCCTTTATCTCTTTCTTCTAACATCTCTTTCTGTTTTCCGCCTTTCCCTTTAGATTTCAAAGGCCACGGTTGGTCTTTGAGGTTCAAAACCAAGCTATATTTACAGTATTTACAAGCAATGCATCCAACAGACTACCTCGAGGCTATGACTCATAAGACAAGGCTTCCTCTCTATAGGAAGCCACTATCCCAGATGCCAAAGAAGCTTGGCTGACACCGTTTCCCAAGGGAACACCTGCTCTCTATCCAAGCCCCACTGCTTTTTGTCCTGGGCCTCGGGCTCTGCCTCCGCCTCTGCCTGGTTAAGCTCGTTCAGGTACAGAAAGACCTGCTTGTTAGGGGCCAGCCGGTTCCTCTTGGTGTTGACCATTTGGCTGCGGAGCCAAAGAGATGCTCCAGCACAACGCAGGTGGCCAAGCACCTTCTAAAACTTGAAGTCCCTCATCTCCTCCACCACCTGGGCATGCCCTTCCTCCTGGTCCTCCAGGCCGCTGGTCTGGCGGCAGATCTCAGCCAGCATGCTGTTGATCATGCAGGAGGGCTGAGGCACCGACGTCCCCGTGAGCTTCTTCACGGGACGTTTTTCCGGCAAAGGGTAGATCTTGCATTGGCCAGCCGGTAGCTGCCGTCTTTGACGTTGTCCAGGAGGCCTTGGCCCCTGACCACAGAGTTCTCCATCTGCTGCCTCTCGAAGACAAGCAGGAAGGGCAGCCTCTTGTAGCGTGGGTCCAGGAAGATGGTGACATTTGGAAACATGCCCATTTCAGGCGTCTCCTAGCAGGTCTTGTAGAGCTCCTTGGCAATCACCCTCTTGGCCATGGGGATCTCCTTGGAGTCAGTCTCCTTGTTGTTGAACGTGGTATTTAGCAGCATGTGAAACAGCAGTTTCACTGTGCTGATGGTGGGATACTTCAAGGCAGACAGTATCTTGGCCACTTGCTTGCAGAGCTGCAGGAATTCCACCAGCCCCTGGATGGTGGACCACTTGGTAGCCTCCAACATCAGGTTGTGATTGTTGCTGTCTTCAGATACACCAGGGATGACGCACTGCTGCTCTTTGAGCGGCTGCAGCATGGCCAGTATGCTTCCCCACCAGGAGATGATTGCTCACCAGCATGCAGTGTCCCTGTTTTGCTGTGTCTGCTTCTCCACAAGAGCATGTCAAAGGCCATGGTGGGCTGCTGGAAGTAGTCCACCGGTGGACAGCACCAAGAGAGCAGGCTCTCCAGTTTAGGGAGCTGGAAAGCCTGCTGATGCCAGCATAGGAGGTCTGCACAAGTAAGGCATTTGAACAGCAATGTTGAGCAAGGGGCACACCTTCATGATGTCCTTGCCATAGTCGGTGGTGGCCCTGCACTCCTTGATGTTGATGCCCCATTTGATGAAGAGCACCGGCATGATGGTTTCCGCTGTGTTCTTTTCGAGCACCTCAAATGTCTTCAGGCACCGGAACCCACATACAGGCTGTCGGGGGAGCTAACACCGAGGAACTGGACAGCCAATATCACCAAGACTCGATTCTGGTTCTCACTCCTCCACTTGCCCCTGGAGATGCCACACCAAAAGGCGTTGGCTGGCTTCTTCAGGATCACCTCTCTGACCCTCCATGCTTCTCAGGGATGGCCTTGGTGGAGATGTACTTCCTGCTCAGGAGCTGGTACCTGGGGTCGGCCAGCACCTTGAAAGTGGGCTCGTCCTCACTGGATATCCTTGCCCCTTGCATATGAGCCCAAGGACGTGGCCATCAGTTCCTGCTACTGCTTGCTCTCATCACTGTGGCCAGCCTTTGTGGCCAGTGGGTCCTGCGACAACTGCTGGGATGACTTGGGCTTCGGTTTGGAGGAGGTGGGAGTGAAGGCTTCCCACATCTGCTGGGTGACTGTAAAACTCTTAGAGGTCATCTCCTTCAGGTGGCAGGACAGGTTGGAGGTGTTTCAGAATAGGTGATCTGCACCAGGCAGATGCAGCAGATTTTATTCCATGGCAAGACTCATGACTTGGTATCGGTGTCCAAGCTGCAATACTTCCACATCTTGCCATGGGTGTAGAGGTGGGCCTGTAACTTCAGGTCTATCTGGGAGATTTCCAGGCCTTTATTCTCTGTTGCTTCTCCACAAGACCCTGCCTGCTGAACTTCCACTCACTCGTGGGGACCCGGCTCTGGGAAGGCACCACCCCTCCTCAGGCAGCTCCTCAGGCAGCTGTGCCACAATCACCAGGGCACCAGCTATGTAGACGTGCAGGGCCATCCCAGGCAGACAGCAAAAACCATCTTTATTATTCTGGACATTTCAATCTATGAACATTGTATGTCTCTCCATGTATTTATTTAATAAATAACCTTATTTTTTTTAATTGACAGAAAAAATTATATGTATCATGTACACCACGATGTTTTGAAGTATATATGCATTATGGAATGAGTAGATCTAGCCAATCAGCATATTTATTACCTCACATAGTTAAGATTTTTGTAGTCAAAAACTAATTTTTCAAATGGCTCTTTGTATTTTTTTATAGTGTTCTTGTTGAAAAGATTTTCAAGTGCCTGGAATTCTCAAAACACTGAATATATTATCTAACAGAGAAAATTGGCACGGAACTTGTCACATCATGAAATTAAAACTGAGATTTCCTTGGGTGCCATGTGTACTTGTCTTGACTCATCACTTTCATAATTTTTGGTACCATTGCCGTTCACTGAATCCTGTTATCCAAGGATTTGGGAATGAAATAGAAGCCTGCTATTGCTCAGTTCCGCACGCTGTGGTTATATTTTCCAAAGTGTTAACAAAAACGTTTCTCAAGAATGATAAAATCAAAACTAAAAGAGAATCTCCCGTTCTCTGGGTTTAGACTATAAATACCTGAGATAATAGCTCTTTGGGGGAAAAGCAGTCATTTTAATATACATAAACAGTCAAAAGCTAAAAGAGAGGGTAAAACTCATTTAGTTCAATTCATGTATTACAAAGAAGAAAAAAAGACCCAAAGATGTTATTTGTCTGAGATCACCCATTACAGTGGCTATTATTAAATTATCTGGTTCCATACAAAAACATTTCCCATAAATACTCTCTAGTATGAGTGGCCTTGTTCACTATCATCTTAGTCTTAACAATACAAGTATTTTCTATTTTTTTGGTTGCTTTTACTTTAGAAAAAAAAAAAGCAGGGAAGAGCCCTGACCATTTGAGAATCTATTAAATGTATTAATAGTTTCTATTTTTTTTATTTGGCTGCTTTATTTTAGCTAAGGCTTATCTTACTTCATTTTATCTACAAGTAAGGCAACTGTGACTGGATTGACCCTGTTGGGTGGGCTGAACTACTACTCCATACTCAGAGTGAAATAAAATCACAGCACTTTATTGCAACCCTACTCCAAAATGCACTGTCAGTTAATGTAGTTTTCTTAAATACATCTTTAAATGTATCTCCTCTCTAGTTCTTAGTTTTTCTCTCATAATTCAGTCTTCAGATTTTTCTTCTCTTTGTATCCACATCTGGCATCTCTGTGTTAGTTACTAAGCTATTGTCTCTCAGCTTCAAACCTTCTCTTCTAGCTCTGTGATGCTGGGACTAGGATTCTGCAAACACTTTTCTCCTTTACCATCTGTTTTCCTGTTAAGTTCTTCTGGTAGAAGAAACTAGAGGGAGACAAGAAAGCAGGAGGAGGGAGAAGGAATTCACAATTTTCTATTTGCTTTCTATTATTCTCTGGTCACCACAGAAATGCATCCTCACCCCAGAAGCACAGCTGGTTGCAGAAGCAAATGATTCCAGATTCTAGCTTTTTTCCACCTATTAGAACTAGCCTCATAATGATACCTATCACAAGCCAAGAGATAACAGCACAAGCCAAGCAGCTCTAACAGTGCCTCTCCTTCAAGCGCATAAGCTTTTGAGAACCCCAGTCTTTTCTCTTGGTTCTACCACTACTATGGAATGCAAGCTGCTTCCTGCAGTTACTCTCTGTGTTATCTGAATTCCCTCCAATACCCTTTTAACCAGTTCCACCCCCCAGCCTTTTTTTTCTGAGATGGAGTTTCACTCTGTCACTCAGGCTGGAGTGCAGTGGCAGGATCTTGGCTCACTGCAACCTCCACCTCCCAGATTCAAGCGATTCTCCTGCCTCAGCCTCCCAAGTAGCTGGGATTACAGGCACCCACCACCACTCCAGGCATTTTTTTTTTTTTGTATTTTTAGTAGAGATGGAGTTCACCATGCTGGCCAGGCTAGTTTCAAACTCCTGACCTCAAGTGATCTGCCCGCCTCATCGTCCCAAAGTGCTAGGATTACAGGCGTAGCCACTGCACCTGGCTCAATTCCCTATGTTAAACTTCCTTGTTAAAATAATTGTTATGGTTTCTCCTTTCCTTATTGGACCCTGAGTAACACATACTCTACATCCATTCTATTGATTCAGGTCTTTTCCTCACCTCTCTCTTGCCTTCCAAACCCCACTTAGTAAAATGTTAAAGGAAGCATTCGCCCATGATTCTTTTTTCTCCTACCCTGAAGTTTGCTTGTACACCCATAATTCTTCAAGCATGTCCTTGTGAGCTTCAATTCACCCTGTTCCATCCCTTTTTTCTTTCCGTGTTAAATGATGAAGAGAAAAATCCTGCTCAAAGAGAGTAAGTTCAAGATAGTCTTGGTTCTAAAAAGAGAAGCTGAAAACCTGCTATCTTTTGATTGGCTGTCAAGACTCTTCATCAAAGCAGATGTCCCAGACTAATTTCAACAATTCTTCATCTTAAATTCAAGACTTTAAAAAACCTTCACAGACTTGCAGAAGCCTTTCATCTGAGGAACTCAGAAAATCACAGATTGAACATCCCCCATAAAGAAGAAAGGGAAATAAGTCCAAAATGTAGCCCAGACTATGACATTCTTTGAGGACAATTCTGTATGAACTAAAACTGCAGCCTGTGGACAACTGCTTGAGCCCAGGAGTTTGAGACCAGCCTGGGCAACATAGTTGGACCCCGTCTCTACAAAAAATTAAAAATTTAAAGATTAGTTGGGTGCGGTGGTGCACATCTGTAGTCCCAGCTACTCAGGAGGCTGAAGCAGGAGGATTGCTTAAGCCTGAGAGGTCAAGCCTGCAGTGAGCTATGATCTCGCCACTGTACTCCAGCCTGGGTAACAGAGCGATGTTCCTTTAATTCCAGAGAAGTTGCTAATTTTCTGTAAAAACTCCTTTATGAGAAATGATATTCATGTGGAAAGAATATTCTCTTTATACCCTGATGTGTTATTAATTTCACATCTCTGGGATAAAGCCAGATCATCAGAAAGATTTATGCTTAGAATATCCTCTACATCCCCGGCTACTCTTACTGATATAAGCTCTGATATAATGCTTTAGCTTTTGAAAAATCACCTGATCAGAAAATTTGATTAACATTCTCTTATATAAAACAATTTGACTAGGCTGGGCGCGGTGGCTCACGCCTGTAATCACAGCACTTTGGGAGGCCGAGGCAGGTGGATCACTTGAGGTCAGGAGTTCAAGACCAGGCCTGGCATGGTGGCTCATGCCTATAATCCCAGCACTTTGAGAGGCCAAGGCGGGTAGAAAACCTGAGGTCAGGAGTTCAAGACCAGCCTGGCCAACATGGTGAAACCCCGTCTCTACTCAAAATGCAAAAATTAGCCAGGCGTGGTAAGCAGGCACCTGTAATCCCAGCTACTCAGGATATTGAGGCAGGAGAATCGCTTGAACCCTTGAACCTGGGAGGTCGCAGTGAGCCGAAATCACGCCACTGCACTCCAGCCTGGGTGACAGAGCAAGACTTCCTTCTCAAAAAAAAAATAAAAAAAAAAGAATGTTCAGAGAAAGACTTACTGATCCTGAATGCTGGCTCCCCAAATTATCACTATGACAACCTGTCGAAAAGACAAAGCTGAGCTTATATTGATCTTGGGAAGGGAGTACTCCCTCCACAGAATCTTAGAGCATCTCAGAAGAGGGAGAACAAAGTCAGGATATTTACTGGGACTCTAAGTCAGTTTAAGACAGATCTTATCCGATATCAGTGCTTAATTAACACTCTGTAAGGATTATGACTTAATAGTTTAAGATTCGTGGTCACAGCAAAGTGAAGATGTAAAGGCAAGGTTTTCAAAGAGTCTTGGGTTCAAGCAGTCTTGGGGTTTCAACTGTAGTTTTGATATGGCTCCCATGACTGGAGGAACAAATTGATGCTTTTCATGAAGAGTTGATGGCCTTTTGGGACATTGCTGAAATGAATGATAATGTTATTCACAACTTTTATCTTCTTCAGCAAGAGTTTCCTAGAATAGTAAAGCTATGTTGATGAAACCTAGAATAACAAAGGCCTGTAAATATACACAGTAAGCTATGTGGGTGTATACAGTTTCGGTTCTCACTGACAAAACGAAATTTGAGCTCATTCTCAAAGGAGTGAGGGAATGAGTCATGCCAACATTTGAAAGCAGAGTTCCAAGCCAGGCCCAAGTCCAACTTTTGCAGGGCCTGTGGCAAGGTTATAGATGAATGCCTACTATATGCCCAAATATTTAAGTGTTGGAAATCAAGTTAGCAAACCTTTTTTTCTTAGAGATGGGGTCTCACTATGTTGACCAGGCTGGTCTCGAACTCCTGGCCTCAAAGAATCCTCCCATCTCAGCCTCACAAATGCTGGGATTACAGGCATGAGCCACTGTGCCTGGCCTAGTAAACTCTTAAATAAAATGTTAGCCAGGTGGGGTGGCATGCGCCTCTAGTGCCCCCTACTCCAGAAGCTAAGGCAGGAGGATCCCTTGGGCCCAGAAGTTCGAGGCTACAGTAAGCTATGTTCGTTCCACTGCACTCCAGCCAGGATGACAGAGCAAAACTCCGACTCTAAAACAAAGCAAAACAAAACAAAACAAAACAAAATGCCCAATCAACACCCTCCAATAAAACAAAATAAACTGGTTACTTTAAAAATAAATAAATAAATAAAATGTTTTAGGTGCCTACCTTGATAAATATAACTTTATAGTGACTAAGTAAAAAAACATGTAAAGTTATGCTTTTTATGTGCCTGAAAAACATCAAAGACAACTAATATATTCACACGTGTGTATATCTGAGTATTCTATTGATGTGTAGTTGAATAATAAAATAAGGACACATACACCATATAAATCATTTTATAGTATACTTATTTCATAAAATTTTATTTCTTTGCCTTCATTTGAGGAAAATCATGAATTCAATTGTTATAATAAAGATTTTCACATATTTTGTTTTTATATTGACAACAGTGATCTAAAGATACACTGTCCTATACGGTACACACTGAGCATTTGAAGTGTGAGGCCTGTCCAAACTGAGATGTATTATGAGTGTAAAATACATACTTATTCCAAGGCTTAATATTTTTAAAAAAGTAAACTATCTCATTAATAATTTTATACTGAATACATATTTAAATGGTAATGATTTTAATATACTAGTAAATAGAATATATTATTAAAATTAATTTTACTTTTTTTACTTCTTTCATGTGACTATTAGAACATTTAGAATTACAATGTGGCTCACGTTTGTGACTCATGTTATATTTCTTTTTTTTCAGCTTTATTGAGGTATAATTGACAAAGAAAAATTATATCTATTTAACGTGTTCAACTTGTTGATTTGATGTACATATACTTTGTGTAATAATTACCAAAATCAAATTAATTAACACATCCATCACCATATATATGTACTCTGTGTGTGTGTGTGTGTGTGTGATAAGAACACTTAAGGCATACTCTCTGGCAAATTTTAAGTAAACAATACAGTATTATTAACTGTAGCTATCATGCTGTACAATAGATCCCCAAAATTTACTCATGTTATAAATGAAAGTTTGTAACCTTTGACCAACATCTCCCATTTCCCCCACCCCACAACAGCTGGTAGTCACTGCTCTACTCTCTTCTTCAATGAGTTGGACTTTTTTAGATTCTGCATATAAATGAGATCATACAATATTTGAGTCTGAGTCTGGCTTGTTTCACTTAACATAATGTCCTCCAAGTTCATTCATGTTGTCAAAAATGGCAGGATTTACTCCTTTTTAAGCCTGACTAATATTTCACAGTGTATGTGTGTGTGTGTGTGTGATTTTCTTTATCCATTTAACTGCCAATTAACACTTAGATTGTTTCCATATCTATTGTGAATTATACTGAAATGAACAAGCAGGTGCAGATATCACTTCGAGATACTGATTTTATTTCCTTTTTGTCTGTTTTTTTAGGGATGAGGTCTCTCTCTTTCACCCAGGTTGGAGTGCAGTGGCACAATCATAGCTCACTACAGCCTCAAACTCCTGGGCTCAAGTGATCCTCATGCCTCAGCCTTCCAAAGTGCTGAGATTAGAGGAATAAGCCACCATGCCTTGCCTCTATTTTTAATTTTTTCAGAACTCTCCATAGTTTTTTGCCTAATGGCTATACCAATTTACATTCCTATCAACAGTGGACAAAGGTTTCCTTTTCTCCACACCTTCATCAACACTTGTTGCCTCTCACCTTTTTGATAATAGCTATCCTAAACAGGTGTGAGGTGATGTCTCATTGTGGTTTTGATTTGCATTTTCCTGATGATTAGTGACGTTGAGCACCTTTTCATAAGTTGTCCATTCGTATGTTTTCCTTGGAAAAATGTATTTTAGGTCCTTTGCCCATCTTTTAATCAGCTTTTTTGGGTTTTTGTTT